>NC_000014.9:71581409-71732925 GCF_000001405.40 Homo sapiens
TTTAATTATAGAATGCTTTTTCTGTGGGTTTCTTGAATTTGAGCATAGTTTGGGAAAAAGGACAAGCACTTACCCCGTGTGCTGGATACTTACTGGTTGTCCCGGGGCATCTATTTCTCACATTCCTCTTTCCCCAGATATATTTGGTAATAAGTTATTTAATACCAGATTTGATTTGATAATCAGTTGTTCAATTTACAGTATTGGGTGAATAAGTTTTTTTAATGTATTTTAAATGTATGACAGTTGTATTTTATCATACAATTATTATGATAAAAACACTCATTTACTTCTTCGGTCTCATCTGGTCTCTTGCTATCCTGATGGCAGGCATGGAAACTCTCAATGCCCCCAATAAGTTAGTGAGCTTTTGGTTTGTTTTCCTTTAAAGTGTTATTATAACTTATCACACCTCAAACACTATTTTCCTCTAATAATTCTGTTTCACTTTTACCTTTCTACTTACTACCTTTTACTCCTTTTGCCCTTCCTACTTTAAGCTGTCCCAACTTAGGTCTTTGATATTTTATTATGTGCTTATTGCATGAGATTAGTCATATTTAAATGTAAGAGATAAACATTGACATGTACTTCTGTTCTCCTTCATTTTGCCAGCTGTTGCATCAATTTACTACTTACCAATTATTCCACCATGGGTTGGGTGCACTGGCTTACTCCTGTAATCTCAGCACTTTGGTAGGATCCCTTGAACCCAGGAGTTAAAGATCAGCCTGGGCAACATAGCAATACCCTGTTTCTACAAAAAATTTTAAAAATTAACCAAGCATGGTGAGGCATGCTTGTAGTCCTAGCTACTCAAGAGGCCAAGGTGGGAGGATCACTTGAGCCTGGGAGTTCAAGGCTGCAGTGAGCCATGATCATACAACCAAACACCAGCCTGGGTGACAGAGCAAGACCCTGTCTCAAATAGTAATAATAATAATATTATTATTCCACCACGTAACTTGTTCCCGCATTCTTTATCATTCTTCTGCCCTCAAGCTTTCTGCCAAACTTTTGTGTTCTTTCCTTCACCTTCAGCTATACAAACTATATTCAAGCTTAACAAAACCTTAGAAGCGTAACTTTCTTCACTGAACTTTTTTAGCTACGAGGGTGAGTGGGAGGGAAATGTGATTTTCCTTTTTGATCCTTCCTGTGTCCAAACAGGCACATTTTAAGTTGCTTTCTTATCTCTAAATTCAAATACAGCTTTATCATGTTACATGTTTTGTATCTATAACTTTTCTATTCACTTTGTTAATTTTACCAAAAGTTTTTTTGACTCGACTTTGTTTCCATCAGTGTTGTCTCTTTCAGAGAGTGAACATTAGGAGAGCAGGAACTAGATTTATCAACTGTTTTTCTCAACTCTTCCTGCTTTTTGTTGAAGGGAGAATACAGAAATGAAAGGAGGTAGAAATTCCATTCTAAAAAGTTTTACGCTGATTCATAAATCTTAAATTATCCATGACATTGCACTAAGATGTGTTTCAGGCTAACTTGAAAGAGTGAGCCATCCCTTCTGTCTGAGATGCAACTTTTATGTAATGTGAGTGGAATTCAGGAAAGCCAAGAAGGGATGTAAAGAAAATAGTTTGCCTTATTTGATTATCTTAGCTCATCTAATATTCAAGTACTGTGAAGTTATATTTCTGTTTTTAAATAGTGTTTTATTACATTCTGAAGTAAGAATATTTACAGGCATTCTAAGTCTGTGTTTACAAGTTCAAAAACTATTTCTATTTTTTTGTTGTTTGTTTAAGAGCCTGGGTATTACCATGTTACCTAGGCTGGTCTCAAATTCTTGGGCTCAAGCCATCTGCCTGCCTTGGCCTTCTAAAGTGCTGGGATTACAGGCACAAGGCACTGTGCTGGGCCTGGAAATTTTCATAAATACTTCTGAAGTGTATATCTCTGAATTATTGGGGCATTTGAATAGTTATTCATCAGCACAGTTCCTTCTACTGCCCTGAAACATTGAGAGCTGGCGTTGTATTTTAGGCTGTACCAGTTAAAGAATCTGAGAAGATCTCATTTTGGAATGTGGAAGTATTTTATGAGGAACGCTACATCTTTCTGGTGACCCTACCATATTGCACTGTAATTCTTTCACAACAGGAACTGTAGTGTTCCCCCAACCCCACCCCCTTCCCACATCTTCTTCTTGTAACCTTTAAACTGCTCTTTATGCCCTTGGCACGATGTTGTTTCTTTCATTCTATTCCTTGAATTAGGAATAGAATGTGCTCCCTTCCTTACCACTTAATCATTTCTTGAAAAAAAATTTTTTTCATTATTCTGCTTGTTGGTTATTTCATTGTAAAATAGGTAAATAAAGAAGATGTCAAATGAGCACCTACCTCTATTTTATCTGAAGTTTAGTGGAGAAGATCATGACCAGAGATTTGGAGGTAACAGCATAGAGATGATATTTAAAGCTGCAGGCACCTACAGTATCAACAGACAGAGTACTGGTTGCCATGCAGATTTCCAGCCAGTAACTTAATTATTCTGCCTTTGTTCAGCTGCACAGACAAATGTGAGCCAGCCCAATCAACACTCTGCTTTCCACAGTGATATTATTACTCCAGTGGACCCATGCTTCTGTCTCATCCTAATACACTCAGTGCTCACATGCATCCTGATAGAAATACCTTTTATACCCCTTTCCAGAAATATGAAAAATGTCAAGAGAGATAAACCATAGACACCACCTTTTCAATGGACCCCAACTAAAGACTGAGTAGTGGGCAAAAAGAGGCAAGAGAAAATGAAGAAGCACATGGTTATCACAGAGGTCCAGAAAAGAGAGGTTCAGGATGGAGGATGGGTTCAGGAGTACAGATGCTTCACAGAGCCAGAATGACAAGGGATTTTTGGCAATCAAGAGATCCCATAAGAGGTTCTGCTTTCAGCATTCTCAGGGACTTGATATTCTAAATGGCTGACCTACTGTGGTACAATTAGTCCCAGCAGGAGATTGTAAGCTCTGTTATTAAAGAGCTTACAATCAAAATGGAAAGTGTATAGGAAGGAGGCATGACCCATGCATCCCCCGTCATCTTCTTACTTGTCTGTGTCTCCCTGCTACACCTGGAGCTTTCCTTGAAGGAGGGACTGGTGGATGTATGGTCCATGCTCTGAAGACACTACAGAAACACAGGGGGTGATTTGGATGAGAGGAGGAAGCATTTCTTCTGGAAGAATGGTGGGTTAGGTTGTGAGAGATCTTGAGTGATGAAAAGACTTTCAACTAGTTGAATTGAACTCATTGAACTAAACTGTGGGCCCTCTAGATGGAATTAGTATTCTAGCTACCTGGATCTACCATAGACTTAGATAGTATCTAGAGCTGTAAAATTAAACATGTAATAAGGAAAATTTTTATATAGCCTGCTCTTTCAACAGATGGAGGTGACATGCTGTGAATTCGTATTGCTCTTCTGTTTAATTCTATTGCTTTTTACCATATTGGTACTTAGGCAGGTTTGCTGATATTTAAGAGAGTTGCTGATCATTGTCAACATAGGTTTGCTGTTTCAGTCAACCCTAAGGAATAGATGTGAAGGTATTATTGATCTGTCATCATATGATACACATCGATGGACAGCATTATTTTTGACTGGTAGTTTAATAAGTGCAAAGCATGTATATTTCCATATATGCTAGTCAGTGCCCAAAGTTTATATTGTACCCCAAAGGGGTTTGATGCTATAAATAAGAATGAGAAAAGGGAGGGAGGGAGGGAGGGAGATGGAAAATGAGAGGGAGAAAAAAAAAACATAGAAAAGGAAGGTCCTTATGACTGAAAAAAAATCTGTTATTTAACATAATTGCCCATCTCGAACCTCATCAGTTTTTACAAGCCATTAAAACGTGGCTTCTCTCTCTCCCATGTGCTTATTTATATTTTGAAATGAAAAGAAAACATTGAGTCGTTGTTATATAATGTAATGGGAGTCTTGAAATTTCTTTTGAATTGGTAAGAAATTTTTATATTTAAAAATAAGATTTTATAAACTCATTAAAAATATTGGAAGTATATGAGATGGTTTGGAAGAGAAATACTGATGGTGGAGACTGAGCATTTCCAAGTCAGTTTTATTTCTTGTATTTTACTGCCAGCTTTTAGTTTCCTCCTCTAATGGAAATAACTTCACATATCCTGGGAAAGACAGCTGTGCAGTAAAGTATTTTCTAAGGCACATGAAATGTGGCAAGAGTTTTTATCATGGTGGGATTGGTGTGTTGTCCTTTTAGAGAATGAATGTTTGGGGAATGAAAGATGATTTATTTGGATTTCTGTGAGGTTGTGAGAAATGTTGAAAGCATCTAATTTTTATAAAATCTACTTTAGAAGTATTATTTATGCTATGTAGAGTATTCATTGAAATAATCAGCTTTTGGGGAGATGTTGAACAGGTGTTTGCATTTTGGTTCAGTTGTTCAATTTTCCTTCCATTTTATGAGAATCACTTCTTGAACCTTTGCTATGGCCATATATGCTGTCCTTTGATATCCTCGGAAGCAACAGTTAGCATGTTTTGTCACTTGAAGGGTTATCATTGAAAGAGGAACATGTAAAGTTCTGGAATGTAAAGGGAATAATAGCAGTCTGACAGTAGAAGTATCTAGAAAGCTCAAAAGCCATGTTTAATTAGGTAGCAGTGCAAAACTATTATCCCTTTTACAAAAGATGGTGAAGAGGAGTGCTAGTGAAAACAAATGGCATTTATCTGAATGGCTCCACAGACTCAGCCAGCACGAGCCCAGCCAGAGCTCGCCTCACCCTGCATTCTGCAGGCAGCATGCATTTTTTTTTTTTTTTTTTGAAACACCCCTACATGTTCCAGCCTTTAAATAGCAGCGAGTCTTCTAAAGTGATGCTGTGTGCTGCAAGAGAAATGAAAGCGCCTGCCTTGGAGGCAGGAAGCCGACTAGGGAGATGCTTAATTATCGTGGAAGTAGGTGCTTGTTACCATTGAGTGGAGAGTGCAGCAAGTGCAGGTCGTCCTCCGGTGTCAGAGCCGTGATTTGTAGACAATGCCGCCCTGTCAGCTCAGTGCTGGTTCAGCAGCATCTTTCCAAACATGTATTTGGCAAGAATTTAAAGGCCACCTCTTGTGTAATTTGTGGAGTCTTGGAAAAGGAGCCTCTGCCTTTCTTTTCAGAATGTACGCAACCATGCAGAATTTTGTACTCAGAATCTGTGTCTCCTGCCTTCTGCCTGACGTGCTCATGAGGAAGTTTGTTTCCATGCCCGTCACCTGGAAGGATGCTAACAGTTCTCTGTAATCTGTTGGGGATATGGAGAGGGCCACCCAGAGCTGTGTTTTGTTTCTGCCGTCTTCATAAATTAGCACTGATGGGGTGGAGTAGGTTGTACTGCATGAGGAAATGCAGGCATTTTGTTCATTAGTGAGATACTTCTAGCTTTTAAGAGTACAAGAAACTAAGGAGAGCTTGGGAAGAGGTGGTGGTGAATGCTGGATTCATTCTGCAATATCCTCGTCTCGGTAAGTAATAAAGTAGAGGAAAATACAAAAGAGTGCTAATGGATATAATGGCTCTGGGAAAACTCTTTTTATTTATTTTTTCCTGCTGTATTTGTTTTTGCCAACTATGTTAAGCCTTTGTAAGGAAACAAAAAACATGTATTGATTTTGGAATAGAGGAGTTAAAAAGTGATTGTTGCAGCATATTCAGTAAAGTCATTTTTCAGTTTTTACTTTTGTCAAAAAACTCTGTTGCTCTAATTATCTTATTCACTTGGTTACATCTCAAACTTCTGGTCATCACAGTAGCTCATGATGTTCTACATTTTTAGAGGTCATTGGAGCAAAAGTCTGTACTTTGGGTAGGAGCCATGATATCCAGAACAAGATGTACCCCTCCCCCTGCCCCCCATTTTATGAAACAGTTCAATTAAGATGAAGTCTTAATAGTTTTTTTTTTTAGAATATAAATTATGGATTTTATCAAATGGTTTTTACTTTCTTCCTTTCTTTCAAACCTGCTTTACTAAAAATACGGATTGTGGAACTGTGAATCCTAATCCATTATTGAGTCTTTTATCTTCATGTGTCTGGTTTTGACAATTGCATGTTTGTTTTTAGATGTATTTATCTGCTAATTCAAATTATCCTTTTCTCTTTTAGAGAAAGCATGGGATTATGGCAACCACAGAATCTCAGTAGTACAAGTTCCATTCAGTTTTTTCTGAAAGAAAGCCCTCTGTTAAAGTGAAGCAAAGAAACTGTTGTGGATTATAACGTTTAGAAGTTCCAATTTTTCAGTGCTTTACAAATAAAGCATCATTTAACCTTTTAAATGAAAAAGATTAAGATCTCATGCAACTGTTGTATTTTCTGGAAGCCATTCTCCAAAAGGGAAGTGCACATTTAAAACACAGATATGATGGTCCTTGCTGCAGGGATTTAAGTCTACTTGCTTTTACATCATGACCAGCTTGAAACGGTCACAGACAGAAAGGCCTCTTGCCACTGACAGGGCCTCTGTTGTTGGCACAGACGGCACCCCCAAAGTCCACACTGATGATTTCTACATGCGGCGCTTCCGGTCCCAAAATGGCAGCTTAGGATCATCAGTTATGGCTCCTGTAGGACCCCCCCGAAGTGAAGGTTCTCACCATATAACCTCAACCCCCGGAGTCCCAAAAATGGGGGTAAGGGCAAGGATTGCAGATTGGCCCCCAAGAAAGGAAAACATAAAAGAATCTAGCCGTTCAAGCCAGGAAATAGAAACCTCAAGTTGCCTTGATAGCCTGTCCTCCAAAAGCAGTCCTGTGAGTCAGGGAAGTTCTGTTAGCCTCAATTCCAATGACTCAGCCATGCTGAAAAGCATACAGAACACGCTGAAAAACAAGACAAGACCGTCGGAGAACATGGACTCCAGATTTCTCATGCCTGAAGCCTACCCCAGCTCCCCCAGAAAAGCTCTTCGCAGAATACGCCAGCGAAGCAACAGTGATATCACCATAAGTGAACTTGATGTGGATAGCTTTGATGAATGTATCTCACCTACATACAAGACTGGACCATCACTGCACAGGGAATATGGTAGCACATCTTCAATTGATAAACAGGGAACATCTGGAGAAAGCTTTTTTGATTTGTTAAAGGGCTACAAAGATGACAAATCTGATCGAGGTCCAACTCCAACCAAGCTCAGTGACTTTCTCATTACTGGTGGTGGCAAGGGTTCTGGTTTCTCTTTGGATGTAATAGACGGGCCTATCTCACAGAGAGAGAACCTCAGGCTTTTTAAGGAAAGGGAAAAACCACTCAAGCGACGTTCAAAATCTGAAACTGGAGACTCATCTATTTTTCGTAAATTGCGCAATGCCAAAGGTGAAGAACTTGGGAAGTCATCAGATCTTGAAGATAACCGATCAGAAGACTCTGTCAGGCCCTGGACATGTCCAAAGTGCTTTGCCCACTATGATGTCCAGAGTATATTATTTGATTTGAATGAGGCAATTATGAACAGGCACAATGTTATTAAGAGGAGAAACACCACCACTGGAGCTTCCGCAGCTGCCGTGGCATCCTTGGTCTCTGGACCTCTGTCTCATTCAGCCAGTTTTAGCTCCCCAATGGGCAGCACAGAGGACCTGAATTCCAAAGGAAGCCTCAGCATGGACCAGGGAGATGATAAAAGCAATGAGCTTGTAATGAGCTGTCCATATTTTCGGAATGAGATAGGTGGAGAAGGGGAGAGGAAAATCAGCCTTTCAAAATCAAATTCTGGCTCCTTTAGTGGATGTGAAAGTGCCTCCTTTGAGTCTACCCTTAGTTCCCATTGCACAAATGCAGGAGTGGCAGTACTTGAAGTGCCCAAGGAGAACTTGGTGTTGCACCTAGATAGAGTGAAAAGATACATCGTGGAACACGTAGATCTGGGTGCATACTATTATAGAAAATTTTTCTACCAGAAGGGTAAGTAGAGATCCTTTATTTCTTACATTTTCTTTTGCAGTACTTTCTGAAGAAAAGTACTGTATATTAAGATATTTATTAACAATGTGACATAAGATTTGCATGTCTTATCTTTCTTGATGGTAAAATAGCTAAATAACCATTTGCTCAATTTATTTCTTTTTGCATTTTTTGAGTTACTTTCTCCTTTCAGATATATAAATGTCTTGTATGTTAAATAGTACTTTTACAAATAAAAAGCCCCTTTGACTTAGCGATTGAAATTATAGTCTTTGTTGTACAGTAGATTTGCTGTGTCACCTTTAGGGATAAATATACCAAGTTGAAAATATTTGAAATATAGCTGTTGTTTAAGGATTGCAAAACAGTTTTAATGCTACTTTCATTTTTTATCACTTCCACAGTAAGTACAGGAATCATTTCTTTGCTGCTTCAATGTTGTCATCAGTAGGTGGTAATTATAATATATTCCTGTCCATTTACAGGAAGTATTGTGAAAACAAATTACATTATTTGACAAAAGTCACAGAGCCAATAAGTCTCAGTGCCAAGAATCAAATCTCGGTCTTTGAGTAGAAAAGGCACTGAAGAGAGAAGTACCTTTGACATAAGGGCCACTTCCTTTCTAATCTTTTCTTTGAGTGGGAGAGTAAAAAAAAAAAAAAAAAAAAAAAATATATATATATATATATATATATATATATATGTACACACACACACATATATACACACATATATACACACATATATATTTGAGATTATACACAGTTTTATCTCATACTTTTAAGAAAGACCATTGTGATTTACCGAAAAGTAAGTAGTATAAGTGAACCCTTACAAGCTTTTTGAGCAGCGTTAATTAAGGAATGAGTTTAAGTCATCCAGGTAGACAAACGAGGAAACAGGATGCTTACCCACGAAGGACATACCTCTGTGTTCCATTAGCTAGATTGGTCATCTCTGTAGCCAAGTGAAGAGGCCTGTGGCGAGAGGCTCCCTGTCTGCAAGCTATTCTCACAGTGTTTTGATTTCCACTGTTTTGGGGTTTTGAATGGTATTTAAAATTATTTAAAATTATTGAATGGTATTTAAAATTATGAGTGAAGTTTAGTTTCAAATATAGTACTCATAGCTTTATAACAATTGCTTTAGAATAAAGCATATCTTAATATTACTACATGATAGGTCCCATTCCAGAAGGCTTGTTGACGGAAACAATCTTGTCTCGTGACTAAACATCCATGTCTCATTCCTACATATCTATAGCGTGGGTCTTGGAATCAATATGTATTGCATACCCTGATGTCATTTTTAAACATTTATCTTCTCAGAATAATTTTCTGAAGTTTATATTTTAGAAATTACATCTCTGTTACACTGTCCTTTAAGGTACAAGGTTTCTCATTCTTGCCAACTTGGCATTTGGGGGTGCGATGATTCTTTGTTGGGGTAGCGTGGAGTAGGGGGCTGTCCTGTGTATTGTAGGATGTAGGATGCTTAGCAGCATCCCTGGCTTCCACACTATTAATGCCAGTAGGTTTTCCTCCTCCCTCTAGTTGTGACAGCCTAAAATGTCTTCAGGCATTGCCAAATGTCTCTTAAGAGGTAAACTAACCCCTAGCTGAGAACCCCTGCTTTACTGTACCTGTGCAAATTTTCTGCAGGTGTGTCTGAGCTGTCGATAGGTGGAGGCAAAATGGCCTCCACCCAAAACTGACACTGAAACATATTAGTTATAATCTAATTTATGTAATAATGGGTACTTTTTTCCTATTAGGCAGTATAATAATATTATTATAATAATGAACATTTTGGGTACTTACTGTGTACCAGGCACTGTACTAGGCATTTGCTATGCCACATTTTCTCATTTCAATCTCTTGATGCCCAGGAAGGTAGGTACTATTGTTAACCTTATTTTCCAGTTGAGAAAACTGGAGCTTAAGTGATAAGACTCTCATGGAGCTAGTAAATGTTGGAGCCAGGCTGTCTGAACAGAGTCATGTTCTTAATCACTGTTCTCTGATCTCTGCTAGGTTAAAGAGATGGAGAATCTTAAAGTATTTTATCTTTCAAAAGTCTGGAATAAAAATGTGAATGCCTAGATTCCAGATTAATCCTGTTTGTTCATAATAACCTCATAAATCTAATACCCACTAATCCAGTAGTTACTAACTTGAAGCATGGAAAATACCCTTTTACCCAGCATAATTGGAACTAGTGAATTGAAAATATCAACTCAAGCAGGGAATTGTTAAAAAGTATACATTCAAACTGTTTTATTATCATTAACACATATAAGAATATGTTTGCCAAACTCTTGTGAGACCAAGGGCTTTTCTTTGACAATGATTCTACTCTTTTAAATTCTTAATTGTGTTAATAGGCTAAACCATAAGAATAAAAACATAGAGACTAACAACATAATCTGAGTACAAAATCTTAGATTTCATAAATTTTTTCTCATTTTTTCATAGCTGTCCTGCCCACATTTAATCCAACAGCTTTCTTTTTAATGACTTGCCTTTATTAAGTTTGTATAAAGCCTTAGTTTTTAATAGGAACAACGTTTATCTTTTGTACTCATATTTCATCAGCTTTCATGATTAAATTTCATAATTAAAATAGCAAGTCAATTGGTATAAACAGCTCACTCTTTGTCAGCATGAGGTCCAGCTGGCAGGAACAGAAAGTATGTATGGCACCTAGGGATCACCCACTAGACTGCTAGTGCCATTGGGTATTTGTCAGCATGGTTTGCAGGGAAATTATGAGCAGTGGTTAATCCAGGAAGTTGTTCAGTGGAAGTCAGTTACACAGAGTGGTTACTGTAAGAGCTTTTCTTGGGCCACACAACTTTCAAGTCAGACAGGCAATTTGTTACAGTATGATAATATACCACAAATAGTGGCTCTGGATAACAAAATTTGGAGCAGAAATTAAGCTCTGTAAAGTATAAACTGTACATTTTAAAAATTGTTGTTTATACTTTTATATAGTATAAAACATATCTAAACAAACAACTCTGTCTTATAATAGACAACTTTGATTCACTGAAATTAGCAGACTAACTCATTTTTCCTAATCAGAACCTTAAAGCAAGTCTTCTTGTTGAAGGAGTACATCAGTGTCAGATGTAATTTATCCTCTAGCACCAAGGTGTGGCAGAGCTGACCTGGCTGTCACTCAGCCGCTTATCACCGGGTAGTTTCCATTTGGCTGCCTAATGCATTCCTGACTTCACTGTGGCTAAGTCTCAGGTGGGGAGGGGGTGGAGGGGGAGTACTTTACTAAAGTATGCTATACAGCTGATATTATATGTAAAAATCATATTTGGCTGATGAAGCTATAATCACTTTATTATTATGTTGTTTTTATAAACATTATTTTACAAATTTAGACTTCAGAGGCTATTTTAGTCCAACATAGAAGCCAGGTCCATTGCTGGAAAAATACTGGATCAGTAGAGGAATCCCATTGTTTGTATTTAGTAAAATAAGCAACATGCCATTGATGCTTTTCTTTCCAGTCCTTTCTCATGCCCACTTCTCTTTGCCATTTTGCTAGTGAGTGTATGTTTATATTGAGAACCAGGATTAAATGACAGTAATAATATAGCTAACATGCATCATGTTACTTCTTTGTACTTTATTGAGTTCCTCACTTAATGCCCATTGGACATTAAGGTGGATCTGTACTGGTGATAGAAGTCCAAGTGATAGCCACATCCTCCTTATGGAGGCACAGACTAGGCAGTAGGGCTGCATTCAGATTAACCTGAATTACTTATCTTCCTTTGAGTATGTATGTGTTTTGTGTTATTTATTTATTTATTTATTTATTTATTTATTTATTTATTGAGACAGAGTCTCACTCTCTCACCTACGCTGGAGTTCAGTGGCACGATCTCCGCTCACTGCAATCTTTGCCTCCTGGATTCAAGCGATTCTCGTGCCTCAGCCTCCCAGGTAGCTGGGATTACAGGTGTGCAGCACTGTGCCAAGCTAATTTTTGTATTTTTAGTAGAGATGGGGTTTCACCACGTTGGCAAGGCTGGTCTCAAACTCCTGGCCTTAAGTGATCTGCCTGCCTTGGCCTCCCAAAGTGCGGTATTACAAGCGTGAGCCACCGTACCTGGCCTTTTGTTTTCATTTAGATAGTCACCATGATCAGAGTACTAAGGAAATTTATAAGTGGAAAATACTAAGTTATAGAATAATTATAATGTTGCCTATATCCTGCATAGCTTGTTGAGGAGGAGACCCTTTCCAAGCCATTACTCATCTTGGTTTCTGTGGCCCCACAGGACTTCTTCAATTTTGCACCGAGTGTATAATTGTCTATGAAGTGTGTTCTCCTTGAATCCTATAGAGAGGAATGCATTAATGAAGACAGAGGAGCCCATGGGCTCTTGGCAGTGGCATTTGTTGCTCCACTGATCAACAGTGTTGATAGGCTTGTCTTCATGGTAGGTGGAGTGTTACTCTCAAAGTCAAGTTACTGAAGATGCTGTGATAGGGAAGGGCCTCCCTCTACTGCACACTGCCCAGGAGAAACACAGTATCTGGTCTGAAGCGCATCTAAGAGTATTTTCCCATTCCTTAAAAGAGGGACGACTAATGCTTATGCACCTAAATATTCTTTGGATAACTGTAAGCCACCAGATTTGATTGTTCTTACTGTTCACCTTCCTTCTCCTCCTCCTCCATTCCAAAACACATACAAATCAGGTTGAACAGTGATTGAGGAGACAAAGCACATTTCAGTTGCTGTTTTCTGTCTTTACCTCTCACCCTCTTGTAATCAGCCATCTTTAACATAGTTTCTTTAGAATACCACACTTATCTTGATTTGTACTAAAGTTACAGCTTTAGCACTCTCATATACTCTCAATTTTGCTATCAAGAGCTGTTTTTCAAGTTCCAGTCTGTCAAATAAGCATCATTAAATAGCTGTTATAAATTTTAGTGGATTATTTTTTAGTGCATATAGAACATCAGGGAATATGATTAGCTAAATATATTTCTAAAATTGTGTGCTTATTTTGTTTATTCAGTTTTTTTTGCTTTTTAAAAAATCCTTCTGCTATGTAAATATTAGGCTTGAGAAAAGTACCATAGAATGCCTTACAATTCAGTGTTCTTTAAATATAATTATTCTACTTCTAGTTTTTTGATGTGGACAGTTTTAGATTTCAGATAAATGGTAAACTCCAAGGTCAATGAGTCTGTTCTGCTGAACCATGTTGTGTTCTACGCTGTTGAATTTAGCAGTTATTTTCTGCCAAAATGAATTGAATGGTGAAAGTTTTTATACATATATAATAATTGTTTTAATGCCCTTGCCTTTCATGTTTTTATTGAAGTATTTTTCAATGTAGTTTCATTTTTAAACACTCTATTTATATATAATCTATGTAATTCATTCGAAGGTAGCTCTCTATGTATTCCCTCACAGGGAGATTTGAGGCACTAAATGCCTTCCTGAGAAGCTAAGCTAGGAGTGTGTTTTGCTGCTGTCCTTTTATCTGCTCAGGGCTTCCAGAAGCAAGAAAGCTAGTAGTAGGTATTGTGGTTTTGTGTGTTTGCTCTTTGGAAAGCAGAGGTCCTCTCTTTTCTTCACTGTGATCTCAAAGTCCCAGCGTGGCTCAGCTGCAAGCGTGGCTCAGCTGCACCCTGATCTGGAAGGCTTTCACAGTGCCTGAGCCTCTCAAGCCAGAGGTTTTTGGAAGCTGCTTAAAAGGGCGTGGGCTTCAACTGCTCCTACATGTGTTTTATTTTAAAATCAAGATAGGCCATCAAAGACCACACTAGTTCAACACTTGACTTTATTAAAGGTCATCTTTTTAAGAGCCAGTCATATAAAAACAGAGTTTGTTTTGCAGTAAAGCTGGTGATGAAGACATTTTCATTGTGTCATTCATCAGCCCCTTTAGAAAGTTCACGTGAAAAATTTATTTTAGAATTTGATGCCAGAAGTTGAAACCGGTAGCTACCAAATGCCTGCCTTTCTGATGATAGGTATTTTGTGTGTGTGTTTTGTTTCACTGTATGTCTAGTTTTACTTCAACTCCCAGAACCAAATTTGATGCTCAACTATACAGCTTTGATTATTAACACATCTGCTTCCACTTTCATCTTTTATTTTCCTATTCTGTTTCATTAGCATGATTTATATATATCCTGTATCATTAATGACCTCAATTCTTTTTGGAAAAAGATGATTAGCCTACATTTATATCCAAATAAAACGCCTTTGTCCCCAGGCTTTCTCCTTAGTTCCGGCTGCATTTCTCACCAGCTGTTAATCTGCCTCTACCCAGATGGCTACCTCATTGGCATCTGTAACCCATGTGCAGAGAGATTTGGAGTTCACCATTTTTTCCCCTCCTCATCATTGCTCTCCTTCTGTAAATTAAAGCTTCTTTGATGCCTCCTTTATCTTCATTGTGTTCAACCTACGATCTCTAGTCTACCTTCAAATTGCAGGTAACTTCTGTTCCTTCTGTCCCATTCCCAATTCTTTATGTAACTTCAGGGCCTCATGCTTCTTACCCAAATTCTAGGTTTCTTAGTCCCTTTATAGTCTACCCTGCTCAAAATCTAACCTTTTGTCTTTGCCAGATAGTCCTTTATTCAATCATGTAACAAACATGTGGGTCATCTGAGAGGCAGATGCTGAGACTATACAGGACTGCAAGTGGTTAGGGGCTTGGATGAGAGTAACTTAGGTCTGTGAAAGATAATTTCGCAGAGAAAGGCTTCAGTCCTTCAAAGGAAAGAGGAGACAAAGGAAGATTAGGCAGGGAGAGCCTCAGACCGTGATGCAGGTCTGACAAAGTGTCAGTCAATGCAAAGGGTCAAAAATGAGCATTAGAGAAGCATTACTAGAGCATTACTCCTTGTTGGGGAGTAATAGCCAGGTCCTGTTACCCCAGCATGCTCAGCTATTGACTAGGGGCTGCCCAGGAGGAGTGTGGCCCAGCTCAAAAATTGTAGTAGATTTGAAGGCACTGCATCCAGAGACTTTTAACTAATCCTATTTCTTGTGACCGAACTGGTTGCAGGTTCTTTCTAGAAGGGAAATCAGAGTGTTGCACCAACATACAAAAATGTATTATCCAATTTACTATTGTTAAGAGTACCTTCATTTTTTTTAAAGTAGTTTTAAAAATTAAAATAACTGCACATTTATTCACTCATTTGTCCATTTGTTCAGTCATTCAAATAATATTTAGCATCTATTTTGTGCCAGATACAGTGTCTGGAGGAGAACAAATAGAGATACACCTCTGCCTTCATGGTATTTATAGCCTCCAATTAGTGCAGTTAAGATGAATGGGAAGCTATTAAACAGACGTTTTTTAAAAAGTCTTCTACAATCTCTTTGCTTCCTTTGTTGGAACTCTGTTTTGATGGGTGGTGAACCCCTGGACTTATCTTCCCTTTTTTTCTCTTTTGTAATTTCAATTTCTTTTTATTTTTGTTCTGTACTCATCAATTTCATCTTATGACAAGCAGTTGCTATGTAGTTCTGTACGTTCTATCAGTCCTTTCAGTGAATTTTATTTTTAGCAGTCATATTTTTAATCCCCCAATAACTCATATTTTTTTTGTTTTTAGACAGGGTCTTCCACTGTCACAGGCTGGAGTGCAGTGGCGTGATTATGGCTCACTGCAGCCTCAAAGTCCTGGGCTCAAGGGATCCTCCCATCTCAGCCTCCTCAACAGCTGGGATCACAAGCGTGCATCATCACGCCTGGCTAATTTTTTTAGATTTTTTTTGTTTGTTTGTAGAGATGTGGTGTCACCATGTCACCCAGGCTGGTCTCAAACTCCTGGGCTCAAGCAATCCTCCCACCTCAGCCTCCCAAAGAGCTGAGATTATGTACGTGAGCCACTGCACCCGCCTTATAGTTATCTTTCATAATCGTTTTTTCTTATATAACCTCCCCTCCCATTTCTCTATTGGTATTAATTAAGATTTTTTTCTAAGTTCTTTTTCTTGAGTAACCTGTATCTTCCTGTTTGTATATTTTACTTTTCTTATTTTTCTTGTTTTTTCTTCTTCATGCTGTTAGTTGTCCAGTGATCTTTATCACATTTATGAATAAATGCTGAGGTGGCTTATTGTAAATGGCTTGGGTTCCCCTGCAGCTCCCCAGCTGATCTCTTCTTACATAGGAGAAGTAGTGTAACCTTGTATAGGAAGGTGTCCCTGTGGAGTAAAGGAGCAATGATCAGGCTGCACGATAGAAACCCACATGTGTGTCAAAATTAGAAGGGTTTTATCATGTTCCACTCTTGCATGGAGCTGAGTTTCCTTCCCCTGCCTCAGGGTATACACTGGAATAGGTTACTCTTCCTTTCCTCTCTTGCCTACCTGACAGGCTCCTGCCTGTCCTCCAGGGTTATGCAACCCTCTGAACCCCTCTCCTGCAAGGTTTAGATGCTCTCCCACCACTGACCTGACCCACCCTAGCACCTCTTGTTCTGCATGATGATTTCTATGCTGCATTAATTCACAGCCAGCCTAAGCATGCTTTGAAGGTAAGGGCCACAGAATAGAAGGTCAGGTTTTACAAATGAATGAATGTTTGTTGCTGAACAAGGCCTAAAATTTATTGAGTTGAGGAGCCAATATGTCTTGTATTCATAGCATCAGGAAGAAAAAGGTAGAGGAAGCCGTCTGTGTATATGGCCTTGTGTTATACTCCAGACACTGAATAATATGTTGCAGTTCCTCTTCCTCTCTTTTCAGGAAATGACATTACAGACAGGTCTGTGTGTGGTCATGGTGGTTACCAAGACCACCAATTGATCCCCACAGGCACAAAACGCCATCACAGAGACTGATTTTTACTATTGTAAACTTTACTGGACACAACTGATGGAAGCTAAAATCAGTGAATGACTGTTTCAGGAGAAATGGGAGGAGAAGCAGGATTTGCATGATCTCCAGGTATCTCCCTTAAGACATTCGTAAACTACAGGAGGAAAGATAGTAACTTTATGGTGGAGAAACCTGGCAGACACAGCCTTACCTAAGTGAATCAAGGTTGTTATGAACCTCAGGACGCACTGAGAAGGACACATCATTTCTGTAGTCCTCTTGCCCAAGAGGCACAACCCCAGCCCAATCACTTGAAACTATCAGACAAACCCAAATTGAGAGATAAATACTCTTCAAAGCTGTCAAGGTCATGGAAGACAAGTAGACTAAGGAACTCTTAGAATCTATAGGGGATTAAAAAGACATAACAACAAAATGCAACATGGGATTCTGAATGGGATTGGGGGGATTGCACATAGTGGAAACACTGGTGAAATTCGAATAAGAACTTTAGTTAATGGTATTGCACCAATGTTAATTTCCCAGTTTTATTTGTGAGGGAGGATATCCATCACCTTGAGTATCATTTCTATGTGTTGGGGACATTTCAAGGCCTCTCTTCTAGCTATTTTGAAATATATCAGTAGATCGTTGCTAATAACTATAGTCACTCTAATGTGCTATTGAGCATTAGAACTTTTATTGTCTAACTGTTTGTACTCATTAACCACCCTCTCTTCATCCTCCCCCACTTCCACCTACACACCCTTCCTGGTCTCTGATATCTATCGTTACACTCTCTACCTCCATGAAATCAAGTCTTTTAGCTCCCACATGTGCCTGAAAACATGCAATATTTGTCTTTATGTGCCTTGCTTATTTCACTTAACATAATGATCTGCAGTTCCATCCATCCATGTTGCTGCAAATGACATGATTTCATTCTTTTTTTTTTTTTTTTTTTTGAGATGGAGTTTTGCACTTGTCTCCCAGGCTGGAGTGCAATGGCACGATTTCGGCTCACCACAACCTCTGCCTCCCAGGTTCAAGTGATTCTCCTGCCTCAGCCTCCCGAGTAGCTGGGATTACAGGCATGCGCCACCATGCCTGGCTAATTTTGTATTTTTAGTAGAGACGGGGTTTCTCCATGTTGATCAGGCTGGTCTCAACATGATCCAACCTCAAGTGATCCACCCGCCTCGGCCTCGCAAAGTGCTGAGATTACAGGCATGAGCCACCACGCTGGGCGATTTCATTCTTTTTTTTTTTTTTTTTTTAATCACCAAATAATGTTCTGTTGTGTATACATACCACATTTTCATCATTCATTCATTGATGGACATGTAGGTTGATTCCATATCTTTGCTATTGCAAATAGTTTTGCAATAAACACGTGAGTGTATGTATCCTTTTGATATGTTGATTTATTTTCCTTTGGATAAATACTCAGTAGTGATTGCTGGACTGTGTGGTAATTCTGTTTTTAGTTTTTTTCCATACTGTTTTCCATAGTGGCTGTATTAATCCATCAACAGTGTATGAGTTCCCTTTTCTCTGCATCTTCACCAACATCTGTTGTCTTTTTGTCTTTTTAATAATACCCATTCTAACTGGGATAAGATGATTATCTCATTGTGGTTTTGCTTTGCATTCCTCTGATAATTAGTGATGTTGAGCATTTTTTTTTATATACCTATTGGCCATATGTGTGTATTCTTTTCAGAAATGTTTATTCATACTTGTTTTAATAGGATTATTTGTTTTTTGTTTTTGTTTTACTGTTGAGTTCCTTGTGTATTCTGGATATTAGTCCCTTGTCAGATGAAGAATTTGGAAATATTTTACCCCATTAAACTCATGGTTTCTTCACTCTTTTGATTCTTTCTTATGCTGTACAAAAGCTTTTTACTTTAGTATAGTCCCATATGTCTATTCTTGTTTTCGTTGCCTGTGCTTTTCAGGTCTTAGCCATAAAGTCTTTGCCTAAACCAATGTCCTGGAGCATTTCTCCTTTGCCTTCTTCTAGTAGCCTTATAGTTTCAGGTCATATGTTTATTATGTCTTTAATCCATCTTCAGTTGATTTTGTATATAGCGAGAGACAGGATTGTAGAATTTTCCCAGCACCATTTATTGAAGAGGGGAAGAGGGTGTCCTTTCCCCATTGTGTGTTCTTGACACCTTTGTCAAAAATTAGTTGGCTGTAAATATATGAATTTTTCTGTATTCTGGATTCTGTTCCATTGGTCTTTGTGTCTGTTTTTAGACCAATGCCATGCTGTTTTGATTACTGTAGCATCGTAATATGTTTTAAAGTCAGGTAATATAATGTTTCCAGCTTCATTCTTTTTGCTCTGGATTGTTTCGTCTCTTCTGCCTCTTTTTTGGTTCCATATGAATTTTAGGATGTTTTTTCTATTTCTGCAAAGAATGACATTGATATTTTGAATGAGGATTTGCACTGAATCTGTAAAATGTTGTCATTTTAATGATAATAATTCTTCCAATCAATGGGCATGGGACATGTTTGTGTATTCTTCAATTTCGTTCAACAGTGTTTCGTAGTTTTCCTTATAGAGATCTTTTACAACTTTGGTTTAATTTATTCCTAGGTATTTTTCTTTTCTTGTTTTTTGTTTTTGTTTTTGTTTCTGTTGTAGATGGGATTGCCTTCTTGATTTCTTTCTCAACTAATTCGTTATTGGTGTAAAGGAACACTACTGAATTTTATGTTGATGTTGATTTTGTATAATGCAACTTTATTGAATTTAATGATCCAGATCTAAGATTTTTTTGGTGCAGACTTAAGTTTTTTCTAGATATAAGATTATATCATCAGCATAGAGGGACGGTTTGACTTCATCTTTTCCGATTTAGATGCCTTTTCTTTCTTTCTTTTACCTGATTGCTCTGGCTTGAACTTCCAATACTGTATTGGAGTGGTGAAAGTAGACATCCTTGTCTTGTTCCAATTCTTAGAGGAAAGGATTTCAGCTTTTCCCCATTCATTGTGATGTTAGCTGTGGGTTGGTCATATATGCCCTTTATGATGTTGAGGTCTGTTTCTTCTATGCCTAGTTTGTTGAGAGTTTTTATCATGAAGGGATGCAAAATTTTACCAAACAATTTTATGTGTATTGGGATGGTCATATGGTTTTTGTCCTCCATTCAGTTGATGTGATATGTCATACTTATTGAGTTGCATATTTTGAACCATCTTTGCATCTCTGAGATAAATCCCACTTGGTTATGGTGTATTATTTCTTTGGTGTGTTGTTGGATTCAGTTTGTTCATATTTTGTTGAACATTTTTGCATGTATGTTCATGTGGAATACTGACCTGCAGTTTTCTTTTTTTGTTGTGTCCTTATCTGGTTTTGGTATCAGGGTAATGCTGACCTCATAGAATGAGTTAGGTAGAATTCCATCTTCTTCAGTTTTTTGGAATACTTTGAGGAGAATTTGTATTCTTTATAAGTTTGATAGAATTCAACAGCAAAGCCATTGGGTTCTAGACTCTTCTTTATTGGGAGACTTTTTATTACTGCATGATCTTATAACTTGTTATTGTTTTCTTCAGATTTTCTACGTCTTCTGGATTTGATCTTGATAGGTTGTATGTGTCCAGGAACTCATCCATTTCCTGTACGTTTTTTAGTTTGTTAGTGCCTCTGATCTTTTGTATTTTTGTAGTTATCAGTTGTGATGTCTTTTTTTTCATTTCTGATTTTATTTTGGTCTTCTCCCTTTTTTTTTCTTGGTTATCCTACCAAGTGGTTTATTGATTGTATTTGTCTTTTCAAAAAAAACAACTTTTTATTTTGTAGATTTTTTTCTATTGTGTTTTTAGTCTCTATTTTGTTTAATTCTTCTGTGATCTGTTATTTCTTTCCTTCTACTAATTTTGGATTTGGTTTGTTCTTACTCTTCTAGTTTCTTGAGGTACACCATTAGATTGCTTATTTGAAATCTTTATTTTTGATGTGTTGCTCATTGTTATAAAATTATCACTTAACACTGTTTTTGCCATATCCCATCGGTTTTGTACATTGTTTTTTGGTTTTCATTTGCTTCAAGAAATTTCTTCATTTTCTTTTTAGTTTCTTCTTTGACCCAGTGGTCATTCAGGAGCATATTGTTTAATTTCTATTTATTTTTACAGTTTATAGAGTTTCTCTTATTATTGGTTTCTAGTTTTATTTCATTGTGGTCTCAGGAGATACTTGATATTATTTCAAGTTTTAAAGTTTTGTTGAGACTTATTTGGGTCCTAACATACAGTCTATCTTGGAGAATGTTCTATGTGCTGATGAAAAGAATGTGTATGCTGCAGCTACTGAATGAAATATATTCTGTAAATGTCTGTTATATCCATTTGGTCTAATGTGTAGCTTAAATTCAGTGTTTCTTTATTGATTTTCTGTCTGGATGATCTGTCTAAGGATGAGAGTAGGGTATTGAAGTCTCTAACTCAGGAGTCCCCAACCACTGGTCTGTGGCCTGTTAGGAACCAGGCTGCGCAGCAGGAGGTGAGCAGCAGGTGAGCCAGCATTATCACCTAAGCTCTGCCTCTAGTCAGAACAGCGTCGGCATTAAATTCTCATAGGAGCGCAAATGAACCCTACTGTGAACTGCACATGCGAGGGATCTAGGTTGTGCCCTCCTTATTAGAATCTAATGCCTGTCCCCTGTCCCCACCATCCATGGAAAAATTGTCTTCCATGAAACCTGTTCCTGGTGCCAAAAAGGTTGGGGACCACTGCTCTAACTATAATAGTATTGGAGTCTTTCTCTTTAAATCTAATAATGTTTTGTTTATGTATCTGGGTGCTCTGGTGGTGAGTGCAGATATGTTTAGAATTGTTACATCTTTTTGCTGAGTTGATCTATCTTATATAATGGCCTTCATTGTCTCTTACTTTGTTTGACTTAAAGTCTGTTTTATCTAAGTCTACCTATTCCTGCTCACTTTTGGTTTCCATTTCCATGGAATACCTTTTTTATCCTATTACTGTAGTTTGTATGTTTCTTCAGAGGTAAGATGAGTTTCTTGTGGATATTATATAGTTGGATCATATATATATTTTTTTTCAAATCAGCCGATCTATATCTTTTCTGTGGAAAATGTAATCTATTTACATTCAAGGTTATTATTTATAGGGGGGACATATTTCTGTCACTTTATTAATTGATTTCTAGTTATTTTATATATCGGTTTCTTTCTCATGTTATTTACCACTGTGATTTGGTGGTTTTCTTTTTTTTTCTTTCTTTTGAGACAGATGCTTACTCTGTTATTTAGGCCAGAGTACAGTGGTGTGATCATGGCCTACTGCAGCCTTGAACTCCCAGGCTTTAAGTGATCCTCCCACCTCAGCCTCCTGAATATCTAGGACTACAGGCATGTGCCACCATGCCTTACTAATTAAAAAGAAATATAGCCGGGCATAGTGGCCCACGCCTGTAATCCCAGCACTTTGGGAGGCCGAGGCGGGTGGATCACGAGGTCAGGAGTTCGAGACCAGCCTGGCCAAGATGGTGAGACCCCATCTCTGCTAAAAATACAAAAAAATCAGCCAGGCACGTGCGTGTAATCCCAGCTACTCAGGAGGCTGAGGCAGGAGAATCACTTGAACCTGGGAGGTGGAGGTTGCGGTGAGCCGAGATTGCACCACTGCACTCTAGCCTGGGCAACAGAGCAAGAGCAAGATATATATAAATATATATATATTTATATATCTATATATATTTATATATATTTATATATAGATATATTTATATATATTTATATATATATAAATTTTTTTTTTTTTGAGACAAAGTTTTGCTCTCTCAACCAGACTAGAGTGTAGAGGCCTGATCTCAGCTAACTGCAACCTCTTGCCTCCCAGGCTCAAGTGATCCTCCTGCCTCAGCCCCCTGAGTAGCTGGGACTATGGGCACATGCCACCACGCCTGGCTCACTTTTATATTTTTTTATAGAGATGAGGTTTCACCATGTTGCCCTGGCTGGTCTTGAACTCCTGAGCTCAAGCCATCTGCTCCAGCCTCCCACAGTGCTAGAACAATATAGGTTTGAGCAACTGCACCTGGCCTTAGCTAATTTTTTTAAAAATTTGTTTCTAGGGATGAAGTCTCACTATGTTGCCCAAGCTGGTCTCAAACTACTAGGTTCAAGCATTCTTTCTGCCTCAACCTCCCAGAGTGCTGGGATTACAGGTGGGAGCCACTGCACCTGGCCAAGTTTGGTGGATTTCTGGAGTGGTAACATTTTTGTGTGTTTTCATGTTGGTAGTAGTTATCATTCTTTCACTTCCAGGGCTAGGACTCACTTAAGCATTTTTTTTTAGCACTGAATTTAACACTAAAAAAAGATGAGTTATCTCAGCTTTTGCTTGTCTTGGAAAGACTCTTTTTCCTTCATTTATGAAGGATAACTGCTGAGTATAGTAGCCTTGGCTGACAGGTTTATTTATTTATTTTTTTTCTTTTTTTTCCCCAGCACTTCTAATATATCTTCCCATTCTCTACTGGCTTATAAGTTTTCTGCTTAGAATCCACTGTTAGTCTGATGGGGGTCCCTTTATAAGTGACTACACACTTTTCTCTTGCTATTTTTGTCTTTGGCTTTTGATGGTTTGACCAAAATGTGCTGTGGAGAAGACCCTTTTTTATTGTTTCTGTTTGGGGATCTGTAAGCTTCCTGTATCTGGATATCTAAATCTCTTGCTAGACTTGGAATGTTTTTATCTTATTATTTCATTAAATATATTTTCTAACCCTTTGATTTTCTTTTCACCTTCTGGGACTCTGAAAATTTGAATATTTGATTGCTTTATAATGTCTCATGTCACATAAGCTTTGCATTTTTTTATTCTTTTTTTGCAATTTTTGACTGACTATGTTATTTCAAAAGATCTGTCGTCAAGTACTGAGGTTCTTTTTTTTCTGCTTAATCTAGTCTATTGTTGTTGCTTTCAAATGTATTTTGTATTTCATTCAATGAATTCCTCACTTCTAATATTTCTGTTTGTTTCTTTTTATAATTTCTATCTCTTTGGTAAATTTCTCATTCATATTCTGATATATTTGTGTTGTTTTTCAGTATTTGGTTGTATTTCACTGAGCTTCATTAATCAACATTTTGAATTCTTTTTCTAGGATTTTGTATATTTCTTTTTGTTTGGGATCTGTTGCTGGAGACTTAATTCTATTCCTTTTAAGATGTCATATTTCTTAGTTTTTTCATGGTTTCTATGTCCTTACATTACTATGTACACATCTGATGTAACAGTTGCTTCTTGAAGTTTTTTGAGTTTACTTTCATGGGGACGGACTTTTTCTGAAAATGTATCTGTAGTGCTGATTGGGTAGGGCATTTTGACTTTGATTCTGGGTGCATGTAGTAGTATAGTCTCTGTATAATGTCTTTGTCTGTAAACAGCATAAGTTGTGTCTGTGATTTCCTCAATAACTTAGGGTACAGTTGTTAATGGAGGCTCTGCTGAACTTTTGCTGGTGCCTAGGAGGTGGGCCAATCGTCGAGTCCAGTGGTAGCAGTGTTGGACTGAGTCTGTGTGTGTCTGGGCCTCAGGGCAGCAAACACCAGCACTTGTGCCAGCAGGTCCTGGCAGGTTAATTCTGGGGCTACAGGTAGCTTGCTTGGATACCAGTAATGTTGGCAGTGGGCTGTACAGTTGTTGGAGTCCTGGGCCCTGGGAAGCAGGCATGATAGGGGTGATAGCAGTAACAGTAGTGGGATGACCCTCTGAGTTCTAAGTGGTGTGCACTGGTGTTGGCCATGGCTATGGTGGGCCGAGAAAGCTTGACCTCTGCCTCCTTGATGGCACATGAAACACTGGCTATGGTGGGCAGGGGCTGAGTTATCCCCAGACCCCTGGAAGATTGCTCAGGTGGGGATGGCAGTGGCTGCTCTGTGGCTGTGCTCCTGGGGGTGGCGGGATTGCTTTCAGTAGCAGCAGCCACATGCAGACGGGTGGAAAACATGCCCTTCCCTTGTGCTTCAGCCGCGGTGATGGCAGCCCACAACAAAGGCACCTGCAGGCCGTGAAGTCTGTCTGGGCATGTGAAAATGGGTGATCTTCCTCTGCTGGAGGAAGGGGGTTTGCTGCCAGGTGGCCCATGCTTCAGCCCTGGTGGTAGCAGTTTGCTGTGGCAGTGGCTGCATATAGGGGATGTTGGTGGGGTTCCAGGAATGTGGAGATGCAAGTGCTGTTGATCCCTAGGGCAGGGTGCAGTCTTTTTGGGACTAGGCTGTCAAAATGGTGTCATTATGCATGCTGTAGCTGCGTAGGACTCAGGAGGGTATGTTGGACCAATTGTGGGCTTCGTCCTGAGCACTGCCCTGGCACGGTTTCCAGGCATCTCCTTATGTTTGTTTCAGGGCCTGCAAGGGTCATGGGGCTCTTCCATAGCTAGGATTACAGGAGTGAGTCCACAATGGAAATGTGGCTCGTGGGGGATCTCTCACTTACCCTGCACTAGGGAGTCTCTCCACGCTCCCAACCGGTCCCAACCAAGCAGGTTCAATTTCCTGGTTTTGACAATGATTATTGTACTGTATGTCGTTATGTAAGATGTTAGCACTGGGGGAGTCTGGGTGAGCAATACGGAAATAACCTGTACTATTTTTGTAACTTTTCTCTGAGTCTAAAAGGAGTCCAGATAAAAAGTTAAAACTTTTTATTTTTTTCAGGCAGAAGAAAAAAATAAAAACAAATAAAAACCTTCATATACAGTCATATACATGCATAAACACAGGAACCATAGAAGATGTGACACCAAAAGATTGGCTAGATGATTGAAGCTTAAATAGCACCTCCTTCATAGTGTAGAGGGAATTGGGGGATGTAGGCAATTGTGAGGGTAGTAAATGATTTTCAGGGGGAATGAATGAGCCCAAAGAATAGATAATGTCCTGGAACAAAGCTTCTCCGAGTTCCAGGGGGAGGTGACAGGAAGGTGAGGGGCAGAACTTCACTATGAACAATGGTGGTTTTAATTTGCAGATAAACTTGCCCAGGTAATTTCCAGGGACTGCCCTCGGCATAATAGATGAAAAGCCTGCATGGTGTGGTGACTATTAGTGTTTTCTCTTTTAACGTTTTTGCAACTGTGTTTCAATATGCTTGGTGTTTTGCTTTGTATTTTTATTCCATGCACTTTAAAACATTACTCTGGCCAGGGGGCAGTGGCTTACTAATACCAATGCTTTTGGAGGCAAGGTGGGAGAACTGCTTGAGCCCAGGAGTTCAAGACCAGCCTGAGCAACATAGTGAGACACCATCACTACAGAAAATTGGCCTGTGATTTCAAGTGGTTAATCTTTCCTGGTTATCTGATGTGATTCCTAGGGAGGGAGTTTTAAGACAGTGCCACTTCTTTTGGTAAGAAGTTTCCTCAGTCAGATAAGGAAATTCCAGAGTCCCTCCCTTTGCTTTCAGGGGAGAAACTAGAGAAGATTTAGAAGGTCCTTGGTTCTGAGACAGCTTCTAAGACTTTTCAGTTTCTTTAATTAAAAAGTGCCCAGCATGCAAAAGCACCATACTTTGGGGTATTGTTATCTGTGCCCCAACACCATCCACATAAAAAGATCAAAGTAACTACCTTGCTTGCTGATTTCCATATTCCAGTGAGTTTCTGTGCTCTTTGTTTGGCATTCTCGAAACAAAGGGCCTTTTAGATCTGTTCTTTCAGTACAAGTTGATGACACACATAATCAAACTTGCCACCTATTTCCCAAATGTATACCTCATTATATCTTCAGTGAGACCCTCATTCTGAGCCCTGAAATTAGGTGCTCAAAAAAAATTTTGCTTTATTGCATCAATTCCTTTTCCAGTCTTCTAATGGAGCTCCCTCCTCTGTATGGTGAGCCCATTAATGTGAGCATCAAGGCAATGAGAGGAGACATCTTCCTATTTGCATTCAAGTCAAGTCTGAGAGAAGCATGAGCAGAAGCCATCTCTAGGACTCATGTGAACATTTAGTCAACAAAGAGGTAGATTTTGCTAAGTGTTTGGGACACTGCATGGTCCCTGTCCTTGTTAGCGGTAGTGACTTCTGCCTTAACTGAATTTCTGGCTACCTGTTAGAGACTTCCCCCTAAATCCTTCAATAGCCTTTTCCATAGGAAGACATCTTGCTGCAATATCCCTGGTAAGGAGGTATGAAGGGTGCTTTAAATATAAGGAAATTCATTTACATACAAGTGTTTCATTGTAATTTCTTTCATTTAGATGTTAATTTTTTTTCCTAAGCTAATGTTTGAATTGGTATTAACATTAAAAATAAAAAGTTGCATTAATATGCAACTTTTAAACATACTCTTTATAGTCATTGACCATTTGCAAACCAAATGCATTTTTTATACTTAAAAAAAAGAAATCTTCTGGCCAGGCACGGTGGCTCATGTCTGTAGTCCCAGCACTTTGGGAGGCCGAGGCAGGCAGATCACGAGGTCAGGGGTTCGAGACCAGCCTGACCAACGTGGTGAAACCCCGTCTCTACTAAAAATACAGAGGTAAGCCGGGCGTGGTGGTGCATGCCTGTAATCCCAGCTACTTAGGAGGCTGAAGCAGAGGAATTGCTTGAACCTGGGAGTTGGAGGTTGCAGTGAGCCATCGTGCCACTGCATTCCAGCCTGGGTGACAAAGCGAGACTCTGTCTCAAAAAACAAAACAAAACAAAAACAAACAAAAAACTTCCAATTATAAAAGTTATATATGTATATCATTATAGAAAAAATAGAAACTATAGAAAATAAATTTTTGGGAATGCTATTGATTTTATTTCTGCCCCATCAGTCTTAATACATGCATACTCCTTTTTAAAATAAATAAGGAGTCTTAAATACAGTTGTATATTTTTGTCCTGCTTCTATATTGGGCCATGCCATCTCTTATTTAAAGTTTTTCAGCTGTTTTTTCCAATTCTTGTTATAATAAATAATGCTTACATTAGCTGGTCTTAATTTTTTGTTGTTGTTGCCCCATTGATCCCAATAACAGTTTAGTGAAGCCTACGAACTCTCCTTGGAATAAATTTTTATTTATTTACCTATTTGAGACTGGGTCTTGCTCTGTCACCCAGGCTGGAGTGTAGTGGCATAATCACAGCTCACTGCCACCTTGATCTCCTGGGTTCAAGTGCTCATCACACCTCATCCTCCCAAATGACTGGGACTACAGGTGTGCACCACTGTGCCCAGCTAATATTTTATTTATTTATTTATTTATTTATTTATTTATTTATTTATTTATTGAGATGGAGTCTTGCTCTGTTGCCCAGGCTGGAGTGCAGTGGGGTGATCTCAGCTCACTGCCACCTCCGCCTCCTGGGTTCAAGTGATTCTCCTGCCTCAGCCTCTCAAGTAGCTGGGATTACAGGTGCACACCACCATGCCCAGCTAGTTTTTGAATTTTTAGTGGAGAAGGGGTTTCACCATGTTGGCCAGGATGGTCTGCAACTCCTGACCTCAAGCAATCCATCCACCTCGGCCTCCCAAAGTGTTCGGATTACAGGCATGAGCCACCGCGCCTGGCCAATTCTTTGTAGTGATGGTGTCTCACTGTTGCTCAGGCTGGTCTTGAACTCCTAGGCTCAAGCAGTCCTCCTACCTTGACCTTGATTAGTAAGCCACTTCCCCTGCGCCCCCCACCCCACCCTGCCCTGCCAGAATAATATTTTAAAGTGCATGGAGTAAAAATACAAAGCAAACCAAGCATATATTGAAGCACAGTTGCAGAAGTGTTAAAATTTTGAGATATAGTAATGGACGTGCTTCTTTCTTATTTCATGAAAAAAAGACCTGGCAGCAGCTCTGTTAATTACCATCATTTCAAAGTAGGGGTGAGTGTAGTTAATATTCTGATATGTCTGCAACAACTTTAATGTAATATTAAACTGTGATTTCTATTGGTGTCAAAGTCACATGTACAACTAATATTGTTTGTTGTCTGCATTTATAATTGATGAAAACACTAAATTTCAGTTAGAAGTTAGTAAAAATAAAGATGCATTTTTTTCAGTCAAGTTTATAGACCCCCTAATTTCTGTTCCTAGCCACAGCCTTGTAATATAAGTTTTTTCCACATATCTAATTATTTCCATAAGGTGGAGCCCTGTAAATGAAATGTGAGCCTTGATTTTTATTGCCAAATTGCTCTTAAGAAAGCTTAGACCAGAAAGATCCACTGGTGTGTTTAAGACTTGTAGTTTAACATTCTCTTAACTACTATGAATATTTACAGTTTATATTTTTGAACATTTATTAAAGACCAACAAAAGACATTTTGTTTCTTTGATCACTAGTGAGTTTCAGTTTTTAAAAATATAACTATTGGCCATTTGTCATAGACTGATAGCAACCAATAAAAAATCTCTCATGATTCTGCTAATCTTCATCCTCTCTTTATTTAAAAATAATTTTTTTATGTACAGAAAAGTTGGAATGTATGTCCTTTTGTTTTAAATAGGGTTTTCTTTGTATTTTTTTCTTTAATCATTTAGATGCAATTTATTAATATCAACATAACTTCATACTAAAGTTTGCCTTTTACTGAAAAATTAGAGGCCTATTAGGTGCTACTTTAGATACTGTTTTAAACCCCCAAATTCCATGTAATCTTGGCAAATACATCACCCCACTTTTTAAGTGTTACCTATGGGAAGAAGAAATGGAATGTCAGAGTACTATGCAGTTTGTAAATGTGAGCAATTACTCTTAGGCAACAGTAATTATAAGCTTAGTGCCATGCTTTGGGACAGAATTCTGGCATGTGGCCAGTCCTGTTTAAATGTCCCCATCCATTACTCTGACCTGCTTTTGATTATGGTGCGAAGTCCTAGGCTGTTTAGTTCTCATGGAACCTCCACCCTTAAAATTAGGATGAGCCCTTTGAGGACCAGAAACTGAGAATCTGAGTGGTGCACTTCCCAGGAGAGCCATTCTTTAAACAGTTGGCCTCTTATTATGTCCACTTTGGCAGACCTGTGTTTCCTTTTAACAAGATAATAAATTTCTTTATTTTTAACATTGAATTCTCCAATCCTTTAGCTCTGTCCTCTCTTTCTTAGTCATTAGTCAGATTAAGATGTAAGAAGTTGGACAAAAACAAAACCTGAAAAATTTGAACAGTGAGTTTTTTTCCTAGTTGTTATTTTAATTTAATTTAATTTAATTTAATGTTATGTTATGTTCTAGGATACATGTGCAGGACGTGCAGGTTTGTTACATAGGTGTACATGTGCCATGGTGGTTTGCTGCATCTATCAACCTGTCATCTAGGTTTTAAGCCCCATATGCATTAGATATTTGTCCTAATCCTCCCCTTGACCCCCACCCCCTGACAGGCCCCAGTGCGTGATATTCCCCTCCCTGTGTCCATGTTCTCATTGTTCACCTCCCACTTATGAGTAAGAACATGCGATGTTTGGTTTTCTGTTACTGTGTTAGTTTGCTGAGAATGATGGCTTCCAGCTTCATCCATGTCCCTGCAAAGGACATGACTCACTCTTTTTTATGACTACATAGTATTCCATGGTTTATATGTGCCACATTTTCTTTATCCAGTCTATCAGTGATGGGCATTTGGGTTGGTTCCAAGTCTTTGCTATTGTAAATACTGCTGCAATAAACATATGTGTGCATGTGTATGTCTAATGAAAATATTAAACTGATGAAAACATTGAGGGTGAAATTTTATGTTGTTAACTGTACTGATGGTGGCACACATGTAACCAACCAAGTCGACTATTTAAAAAAAAATAGTTTAAATGTTAAAAATGGTGAAATAATTTTAATTTAAGCTATTGAAGTGTCACTGTTCCATTCTTTGACCTGCTGATATATGATGAAGCCCAAGTCTGTCTGCTTATTACTTGTATATTTAGCATCCCCATTATACATTGACTTATGGTGTTTTTTTCTTGGGAAAAATGGAAAAGATTTTATTTTTCTTTCTGTATGATCAATTAGGGTAATTCTAAGATTTGGATGTGAACATTTTTGTGACTTTAACATATCTTGCCGTGTTGCTTTCAAAAGCAGTTGATACCAATCCACAGTGCCACCAGCAATATATGAATATATTACGTCTCTACCAAGGGCTGGTTTTTTATTTCAGAAACATTGTTTTTTATATTGGGTTAGGCATGAGATAGTAGCTAAGTTTTATTTGCTTTGTGTTTCTTTGATTCATGTTTATGATGTCTATTTTTTCTATTAAACAATTTAAATTAACTATTGTAAACATGTTTCAAGCAATAAATTATAACTTTACAGATTACTTGTAAAACTATATTTTTACTGTTCATAATTACATTCAGTTCAGATTATGCTATAGATGTCCTCAGGGAAGTATGCAACTGAAATATTAATACATAGCCTGCAGATACCATGATAACCAGTGCAAGTGACAAAAAATTGATAGTTAAAGCCCTGTAACTCTTGTAATTGTAGTTTCCTTTCCCCTTCACAAGTAAAACACCAAGCTTAACTTTCTTTGCCTTGTACACACATGCTTATATATCTTATAATCAGGTGATTGGACTGTACCTGATCTAATTACTTTGAGCTTTGAACTATTCGCTGTTTCCCCTCACTAAGAATGTGAAATTTTTATTATAATCATTATTGTGAAAGTATCAACCAAAAATAAAACTATTTACCTGGAATATTTTAATGATGACATAATTATTTATTGTTACTCTTTGTACCATCCTGGTTAAAACTCAAGAACCAGAACTAATAAGAAAACTTCACACTAAACATTTAAATGTGAGGAATGGAGTAGGTGGAAGGAAGTCAACCGTATATGGATATAATGTTAATCTCTCCCCCTTTCAACAAAACCTTAGCTAAACAGCACATCAAGAAATAAAGCATTATGTCTCGTCTGACTAGATAAATAGTTTATTCCTTTAGGAACCAAGTTTTATTTAATGATTTTTTTATTCATAATAAAATTTTAGAAACTTATGGGAACATAATATTGTGTGTAATGGCTAAGTAAATGAGCTGATTAATTAACATTAAATCAGCAGTTAATATGTTTAAATCTGGTACTGCTATATACTACTTCTGACTAAGTGACTTATCTTCTTTAAATCAAAGTTGCCACATGTATAAAAAAGAAGGAAGTACCTTTTTTTTTTTTTGGTTGATATGATTATTAGAGTACTTGGCAAAATGCTTTGCTTTGCTGCATTATATCATTCTAATATGGTGATTGCTGTATTGGTTTTTGGCATCCCGGTATGCTGGCTCTAAAATATTCTAATTTCTGGTGGTTTAATACCTGTATTTCAGTTCATCCATCAGAAGCTTTATCCACTCTACTTGAGTTTCCAATTCCTCTTCCCTTCCCCTGACTTTTCTCATCCTGAATTTGCTCATCGAAGTCTTCCTTGCCTTTCTTTGACACACTTCATCTGTAACTCCCTCATCCTTACTCCCCTTCCCTGCTAAACTTTTCACTTCAGAAGAAAGAGAAAGACAGTTGTGGATTTGACTAGAAGAACACTTTGTAATTATGGATATCTTCACTAGCAAACAATGGAAGTCGATGGCTGATAGGAAAACAAATTTAAAGTGCTACATCACAGAGCAAGTGTAGACATACTGCCCGGGGACTAGGGGCCTGAAGGAAGGAGGAGACTGCAGTCCAGTATCTTCTAGCTTAGATCTCAAAATTGTAGGCATGTGTGGTGGCTCATGTCTGTTATCCTAGCACTTTGGGAAGCTGAGGTGGGAAGATCACCTGAGGTCAGGAGTTTGAGACCAGCCTGGCCAATGTGGTGAAACCTCTACTAAAAAAAATAGAAAAATTAGCTAGGCGTGGTGGCACGTGCCTGTAGTCCCAGCTACTCAGGAGGCTGAGGCAGGAGAATTGCTTGAACAATTGAACTCCTTTTAACCCAGGAGGCGGAGGTTGCAGTGGGCCAAGATCATGCCACGGCACTCCAGTCTGGGCCACAGAGCAAGACGCTGTCTCCAAAAAAAAAAAAAACAAAAACCTGAAAATTGTGATGCATGGTGATTTGCTGAATGAAATGCTCCTGTACCAGAGGGTTAAATTTAAATAGTACATTAGGATTTTGAATAGAATAAACTTATGTTCATATGGAAAGAGTTTTTTCTATACTTCTGTAATCCTTAAGAGAAAAAAAAGACAGTGGACCAAAACAGAGCTTTTATTGTAAAAATAATTTTTTTTCAAGTTCAAAGACTTTTTGAAAAAGTAGAGTCTGGTGATGATAGTGGTGAATTTAGCATGGGAAATTGGACCGGAGTCTCCATCCATACCAATGGAACCGATACTGATGAAGACTGGCTGGAAAAGCTATTTGGGAAATAATAGCAAGAGCTCTTTTTTAATGAAAAAACTTGACACAAGTTCAAAAATATCTTCCTAGCGTTATCTAACCAGAGATGAGTTTGTTTAAAGCTAGAGTATGAAGAAAGTGTTGGAATTTAGTTTATAATTATCCCATCACCATTCCCCAAATTCAGAAATATACTTCATTAGCAGCTGGGAAAAGTTACAAAAAAATGTAGTCAGGTTTTGATAATGACACACCAAAAGTTTGAATTATCATTAATTTTACAGTTTTTATTATTAACAAAGTAACCTTATTAACACAATTTGTATTTTGTCTACCAGTAATACTAAAATGATTGTTTAATATTTTTAGTTTATAAATTTATATTTTATTTACATTTTTGTAATGTTTCTATTTTTGTTCTTGAGATATATTAAATATTTGGTTTTAATAATTTGTGTTGTTATGAATTCATAACACTTTAAAATAAAGTTATTGGTATCAATATCCAAAGTAAACACTTTTATTTTCTTCCAGTATTCAGTCCCTCTTTTCAAAGATGTCTATGTCATACTTCGGATGAGACCTAAAAATTAGAGGACTTAGACAAATAAAGAGGGGTTATGGAAAGAATGTTCTCAGCAGATTTTTTTCAGATGATAAAAGACTGTGAGTTTGAGCACCTGAAAGAGAAGTTTAGTATCATTGGTTTTCAAAATTTAAGAGGGTGAAAGGTGTGAGCTGAGGCTGGAGTGATTGACAGTGACAGGTTATGAGAACCTTTGGGTAACCATGAAAAGGGTACAAGAACCTAAGTGTTTTAAGTTTCGTAGTAGTTGGTCAGATTTGCATTTTAGAAGGGTCATCTGGCAGGGTGAATTAAGTTGGATAAAAACAAACCAGTTAGAAGACTACTACAAACACTCAGGCAAGTGATGATAGGATAAATCAGTGGCAGTCGGATGAGAAAAGATGGATTTGAGAGATGTCCAGAAGCTGGAATTCACAGAGTATGGCAGTGGGCCTGGCATGAGCAACTGGGTGAATGTGGTAGCAGTTGCTGAAATAGGGACTGGACGGGGAGCTATATAGGTTTCTGTGGGAAGGTGATAGGTTCACTTTTGCAGATGTGCGTGGGACAAACGGTTCCATTAGGTAAATATAAAGAGCTCAGGCTTTGGCCCGGCACAGTGGCTCAGGCCTGTAATCCCAGCACTTTGGGAGGCCAAGGCGGGCAGATCACTTGAGGTCAGGAGTTCGAGACCAGCCTGACCAACCATCTCTACAAAAAATATAAAAAATTAGCCGGGCATGATGGTGCACACCTGTAATCCCAGCTACTCTGAAGGCTGAGGCAAGAGAATCGCTTGAACCCAGGAGGCAGAGGTTGCAGTGAGCCAAGATCACACCACTGCACTCCAGTGTAGGTGACAGAGTGAGACTCTGTCTCAAAACAAACACATAAACAACAACAAAACCAAAAAAAGGTCTCAGGCTTAGAGATGTCTGGAGAGGACATGTAGACCTCTGAGAGTCGTCAACATTGAGGTGGCAGTTGAAGTTCTGAAAGCAGGTGGATTATTCAGATGGGAAGAGGGAGGAAAACTGAGCTAGAACAGCCAGAGCGGTAGAAGGAAAATCAGAAGAGGGTGATGTCATAGGAACAAGGAAGTAAGAGTGTTTCTAGAAGACATGAAGTGATCATCTATGCTAGATGTTATGGAGAGTTTGAGCCAGGGAAGGACCAAAAGTACCATTTGTTTTAACTTTGAGAAAGTCATTGGTGACCCATGCAGTGGAAGTCAGATGATAATTCTGAAGTGAGGAATTGGACAGCTATTTCAAGAAGTTTCCAATGGAAGAAAGGAAAGAGGAGATAATTCTTTAGTTCTGACAGGTCGTAAGGAGTTGAGAATAAATGTGAGTTTACGGTAATTAAAGGATGATGGGAATTAGCAAGTCTAGAGGGAGAAGTTGAAGATAAAAAAAGAGGGTCATCAAGGTACCTGAGTCCCTAGGAAGGAGGAATGGGCAAATGGGTGGGGGTGGGGCTTTGGATCATACAGAAAAAGAAGCTAGAGTGTGGATGCTGGTGAATTTGTGTGGATGGTGATTAGGTTTGCATCTGAAATGGCTTCTTTATTTCCTTTGTGTTGTAGACACATTGTCATTTGCCAAAATTGAGGAGAAGGTAGATGAGGAGTGGTTACCAGAGAATAGAGCATGTTTGCCACATCTGCCCTGGAGAAACGGAGAGAGTTGCTGACCAGGGAAAGCTTGAGGATGAGGATGAATTGAGGTTATTGGTGATGAATTTATAGTGGCCCTATATCTGGGAATTTCTCCAGCAGCAGAGAACTGCCATGCCACCTGCCCATTGTGAGATATGTGGGGTGTACTTGAGGGGTTCCTAGAAGTTGGTTTTTATTAGAGTCCATGAAGTACGAGGACCAGGTAATGAGTGTGACTCACACTCTGATGCATCTACTGTTGATCTGTGCTGCAGCGGTACAATATCCTCTGAGGGTATCAAAGCATGTTAAGCTCTTTGCTCCTTCAGTAAATGGCCCCAGACTGCTGTCTTGTTTCTCTTTAAGTTCTTGTCTGCCTTTTTGTACTATTTCTGTCTCCTCCCTTTCTGTTTTCTTCCTTGTTGTCAGTTGTTCTATCACATTGCTGTCTGCATGCAAGTCTGTATCAGCCCTACACCCTGGACTTTGTCAACACCTGGAATTATCACACCTCTGAAATAAAGCTGTGAGCTTGAAGACCAGACAACCAAGCTTATTAGAATTGTGTGCAAAGTAAGAGTAAATAATCTGAGTGTGTTTCTCATGTGCTGTGCTTTGAGGATATGCATAAGTGTCTGTACATGAATTTTGTGACATTTAGTGGGTTATTTCTTATATATGAGATGTTTGTTGCTTGTATTCCCATTGTGTTTTTCTTCTTTTGAATTTCCATGGCTTATGATAATAGTCTTAGAGAGCCCTCAACATTTATGATTGTAGCTTTTGTAATTGTGCTTTAGTACCTGCAAAGTATTTTCATATGCATTACTTAAATTTTAAACTACATGATTCGATATTTATGCTATTTTTTCTTATTATTCTCATGGATTTTCAAATACTTATATTTTGTATGGAAATAACATGTATTTTCAAATGTGTATGCATTTTGTGTGATAATGAGATATTATGTCACAATCCAGTCATTTAGCCGTGTCAGATATAAATGAAATACAATAATGTATAAATGAAATACAGTAATGTAAAGTAAGCATTTTGGAGGTTTGAAAAACAAATTATCTGTTCCAGTTTTTCATATATTTTCATGTTTTGTGGACTTCCTCATCTGTGAACATCTCATGTATGTATCAACAGTTTAAATTTTTAAAAGATGTATATGCACAGTAAATATCACTTTTCAACATTTTCTATAAATTAACTTAATTTTGATCCCTATCTTTCTTTTTGCAAGAGAAAGGTAAATTCAGCGCCAGTCCTTTGGAGGCTTGTGCTAAGGTTTGGGGCCTTAGGCAAAAGGCCAGAACATTGAAGAGAGGCCCTAGGCTCATCGGTCACCTGGACACACAAGTTACATTAGCCCTGCACTGTGGGATACCGTGCTATGGCCCAGAGCCCTGGGTCCTGCCTCCCTGGGGCACTGTGAAGCTCTTTCCTCTGAGCTCCTACTCCACCATACACAGGCCACCTGGGAGCAGAGTGCTGCCCAGAGACTCGCAGCACACATCTCTCTCTCCAATCCAGGGACATCTTTTTTAATCTGGTGGAATCCCCCTTTCTTCAAACTCTGTTCTCAATATGTTTAGAATGTTTTTGAAAAACAAAAACTAAAAAGCCCTGGCACAAGCCTTCTCTTAGGCAAGGAAGTGTGCACAAATGTAGCCTATTTAAATGGTGGGAGATAGGGAGAAAATACAAATTTATTTTGAGAAATAGTAGAGTAGTAATCTGTAGAGTAGTAAAAAACTCAACAGGCCACCCGTGTTCAGTGTTATCTTCTCTGGAACTAAACCTGTGTAGCCAAGTCTTTGTTTTTATAACTAACTGAAGAATATTAATATTTGTTAAATGTTTACATTTTATTGATAAAATTTCTGAGTGACAACCTTAAATACTGAGCAGAATGTAACATTTTCAAAGTGTTAGGTAGATTTTCTAACTTTGTTTTGTCTTATTTTACCTAAGAACACTGGAACTATTTTGGGGCTGATGAGAATCTTGGTCCAGTGGCTGTGAGCATTCGAAGGGAAAAACCAGATGAAATGAAAGAAAATGGATCTCCGTACAACTACCGAATAATTTTTAGAACTAGTGAGGTAAGTCGCAAATGAGAGAGGTTTGAGGTTTAACTGAAATGGGGAAGAAAGCAAATAGTAGCAGTAGCAAAGCAATTAAATTTAATAGCACATGGTTACAGCTGTCTTTGGAGTAAGCAAAGTCCCCTTTCATTTATTCTGGTGGAGATCGAGGTGGACAAGATGGTTAGATCTGGACCTCTTCTTTTCATCAGACTCTGAATAGATGCAGTCTATGAATGAGGAGTTTTGATTCAGAGAAAGATATGTCCATTAAGTGTGGCCCAAGGAAATTGGAGCCCTCAGATCCCCACTGGGATATTGTGTATCCTGCTTAGGGCTACTGGAAAGCGCCAAGCCAACTTGAGGAGCCAGGATATTAGATATAAGAGAAGGCCACTGAAGACTTAATTCACTCTTCCAAGCTCTTGCTGAGCTCATGTCTTCGCCCAAGAAGAAGGAGGGAAAGAGATTCTTGACTTCTTCCACTATCTTTGGGACCCATTGTCTGAGACCTAGAAGGTACATTCTTTGAACCAGGGGCTATCTAATTGTAAGTGAAACAGGCTGTTAGAGCTCTTTAGGAATCTAAATATACACAATGTATGAGTTTTTTATTTTAAAATGAAGTTTGGGCTAAAAAAAAAAGACATGGAAAAATAAAAAGAACCCACACAGCATTTTTTTTTTAAAACACCTATGAACAAGTTTGGGACTATGAGGTTCTCCTTTTTCTTTGTAAACTTGTATAATTGGGCCACTTATCGATTTATTGCCTCTCAGTTGCTAATTCACTTTAGGATTTTTGTTATGCATTAATACTTAATACCCTTGAGTCATCTAGAAAATAATGGTTTTGAAACTAGTTTAAATAGGGCATTTGGCTTCATTTCCCCCATTGAATGCAAAGCAAGTTTCCGGGGTTGGCATCATTTAGTAATAGTTCCTAAGCCTGAACTCCGGGGAAATTAAATATAGGACTTTTAAAGACAAGACTTAAATATCTAATGTGTTGTCTACACTGGCCAGAGAGAAATGAACTAACATACTCTCATGTGCTTTTTCTCCATGGCAAAGCTAATCATTAAGTGGTGTAAATTATTTTTTTGAGCACAAAGGCACGAAGAACGTCATGTTCTGTGTTTTGGACTTGTATGCAGGTAGTTGCTCCTCTCTAGCTTCCCAGATCCTAACAGTTTAGTTTGTTTGTTTGTTTGTTTTTGAGACAGAGTTTCACTCGTTACCCAGGCTAGAGTGCAATGGCGCGATCTTGGCTCACCGCAACCTTTGTCTCCTGGGTTCAAGTGATTCTCCTGCCTCAGCCTCCCGAGTAGCTGGGATTACAGGCATGCGCCACCATGCCCAGCTAATTTTGTATTTTTAGTAGAGACGAGGTTTCTCCATGTTGGTCTGGCTGGTCTCGAACTCCCGACCTCAGGTGATCCACCCGCCTCGGCCTCCCAAAGTGCTGGGATTACAGGCGTGAGCCACCACACCTGGCCGTTCCTACCAGTTTTTAGTGATACTCTCTTATCTTACTTCCAAGTATTTTTGTCTTTCGCATTCTCTTCTTTTTCCCTTCCCAAGGCCACTCTGATTTAAATACCCATCATATTCTTCCTTTTCTGTGTTGTTTTTTTGTCCACCTAAATTCATTTCCTTATCACTTGTTCATCCTATCCTTCATGCCAGAGGTTAAAGTTTCCTATGATTCTTTCTGAGTCAGATCCTGTCACTGGTTTCCATGAGCTTCCCTTCTCAGCAGATCCTGTCACTGGTTTCCACGAGCTTCCCTTCTCAGCATGTCTTGCAGGCTCTCCACATCTGATCCCAGCCCCTGTCTCCTACCTATCTGTCCTAAATTCTGCTCTGGTCTGTGAACCACACCAACTCTTACCTTTCCCACCTCTTTTCTTTCTGCTTTACTCCCTTGACCCGAAATGTTCTACTTGAATTCTGTAGTCATAAGATTCTCTTCTTCTCCAGCTAAGCCATTTGAATAAGCTGTGTCCCTTGGGTCTGTTTCCTTAGCCTTTGACTGAAAGGTTCAAGTCAAGTGTTCAAAAAAACCATTACCACTTGTTTTTTACGTTCAAATTAATGTTCACTTTATGACAACTCTATTACTGTATTTTCTCAGGCCAGAAACCATTAAAGCCACACTTTATTCCCATCTTCTCCCTCCTGCCCCTGAGATCTGGTCTGTCAGCAACACTTGTTCATTTTGTCTTCACAATATGCCCAGAGCTCAACTACTTCTCCCACCCTCACTACCCAGTCCTGGTCCTGGTCTTGCTCTGAGAACTGTTCTCCCTGCTTCTATGCTGAAGCCCTGCCTCCTTTTGACCCAACAGGGTTCCTTTGAAATGTCATTCCAGATCTTGCCATTGCTCAGTTCGAAATCCTTGAAAGCTTCCTCATCTCCCTCTGAGAAACAGCCACTGTCTTTGCTAGCCTAGGAGACCATGCTCTTCTGTTTCCCGGTTATCTCTCTGCGCCTCATCCCTGATAACTCCTCCTGGCTCAGTCTTTTCCTGCCACACTGGCCTCCTTCCTACCTGGGCCACCTCAGGACACCTCTGCCTCAGGGCTCAGATGCCCGTCATTCCTCCCCACTGCTGTGTTCTGCATCAGGCTGCCTCATCTCCATTTGGCCTTTACTCAGAAACCACAGAGGCCTTCCTTGACCGCTGAATCTAAAATTTCTATTCCCCTCCCATTTCATATCCAATTCAGTGCTTTATTTTTCATTAATACTTAACACTGTCTTCTCTGTTATACTTAGTCATTTTGTTTGCTTTTAATCTCTCCCACTAGAATGCAGGCCCCAGGAGGGTGGGGGCTTCTGTCCGAGTTGTTCAGTACAACGTGCCCGATTCCTCAAATGGTGCCTTGCCTCCCTGTTTCTCACTTCCCCTCCTTGCCTGTCTCCTTCCATCCCTTTCTCCATGTCTTTCCTCCTTTTCCTCTCTTCCTTTCTTCCTTCCTCCCGCTAATATTTATGTAATTAATTGCCACTAGGTTTTGTATAATTTTTTTCTCTCTAATAATAAATAATCCATAAATTTGATTTAATGGTAATATTGTATTAAGACTTTTGATAGAAATGTTTCCAGATATTGGTTCCTGTCTGTAGCTCCTGCACTTTGAGAGATAGTTCCTTCACTTTTTTCACTGAAGCCCATTTACCTATTACAAATGAAACAAGACTTAATTTGTATCAGGGACTTCTCATGTTACTAATTTCTCATGCAGATAAGAAAAAAGAAAACATGACAGTGACACTCTAGTGGCTTCAGTAAGCGGCAGCAAGATAACAGAAATACAAACAAATCTCTTTCATTTTAGTATAAATAAACATTGCAAAACATAAAAGAAGATATATACCTTTGTAGGCATGGCAGTTTGTTTATGAGCAAAATTTTATGGCATGTGAGTGTTTTTAAGCATAGGAACACGAGGACTTATGAGGACTCCATTCTTATTTCTGGAAGTCATTAAGAAAAATATCAGTAATACTAGTGATTCGGATGTAAAAAATGAGCCATTCTTTTTCTCATCTGCTTTGGCTTTCATGAGTTAGCTGCTTTCTATGGCTCAGGATGCAATGGCTTGAATTTGGTCTTGGCTTCTAAGTTGAGAACACCCCTAGCCTTTGTGGCTCCCTATTTCAAGCTATGTATTATCTCATGAAGAAAACAGTCAAATAACTGAGTTAACGATTTTCCATGATTTAAAAACAAAATAAAAACTATTTGTGTCAAATTATACATTAATAGGAAAATGATTTTTACTTGTTATTTGAAAAGAAATTGTTTATAATGAAAGAAAAAAGGTACTCATTCTAACTACATTCTCTGCCTCCAGTTGCTTCCTCTCACAGTTCATCTTATTTGCAGCTTAATTTCTGAGTATACATCGTCCCCCTACGAACACGTCCTGTGCTGACCTGTAGGAGCCCAGTGAGGCGTGTACCACTCAGTCAGCTTCAGGGTCTTCTGTGCACCCCCAGCTCACAGCTGCCTCATCCATTTCTCCCTGTACTCTCCTTGTGTCCATCTACAATAATCACTCCTTCCCACTTACTCCCTTTTTTCCCAATCTCCATACCTTTGCTCATGTTGTCTCTTGACATTTTCTTTTTGTAGAAATTGTTCCTCTATTTCATGGCCATTTCCTAAAACCCCTCCTTTCAGTGGGGCCTTTCTTTATGCCCTGAGCCACTGTGGTCCATTCTCTGCCTTTGGACTGTCTGAGGTCCTGACCTTGTTATACTTTGTTGGGTATACTTGTCCTTCTGAGATTGCAGTGTGTCTTTCTGACCTCTCACCCTCATATTTGACAATCCTCAACTTGCACTCCTAGCTTTTGTAGCTCCTGTTGCTAAATGGAAATGTATTCAGTTTGATGGGTTTTCTCTTCTTTCCCCATGCAGCAGTTAAATTAGGTTAACAAAACTTTGCCTTGTAGACATTTTTGGAAATTAAGACTACTTTAGGCTTCATGTCTGGTTAACTTTTCTCTGAAAACAACATCATTACGTAGGAAAATGTCTTTGCTTAAGGTATTAATGGAGGGTATTTTAAGAAGGGAAGGTATTTTAAGAAATAAGAGAAAATCTAAAGTAATTTCAGCTGCTATTGCCTGTGCTGCTGTACTGATGGTGATAATTGTCCGGTGGCAGCAGCATTTGGTAATATGAATAGTTTATGCTTGTCAGCCATGCCTTATGAAGCTTAAAACTTTATCTCCCCCTTTTTATAATTCAAAGAAGTATAACATCCAAATTCTAAGTATTTATTCTTCAGACATTGCTCTGGGGTTCTGCCTTCTTAATTTCCTAATTAGTATGCATAGTGACATGGTATAGCCATATAGAGACCTTGATCTTTACTGATCTCTTTAAGGAAATGTTATTTTTTGTCTTTAAATAAATATCCTCAGAAGTCTTGATTATGTGCTCCTTTGGACCCACCCTGGTCTTGAAAGCATTGGTTTCATTTTTCATATTACAGTATCCTACATCACTTTTCTCATTCTTTCTCCCTCACTGGCTTTACCCATCAAAAATCATTCCCTAGCTCTGTGAGGAGCCCCACAGTTCAGGCCTGCAGTGCATGTACATGTGTTCAGGCATCTCACATCCCAGAAGCCTCACCACAGCACCTGTCTCTCTTGCAGCTCATGACACTGAGAGGTTCGGTCCTGGAGGACGCCATTCCGTCGACAGCCAAGCACTCGACAGCCAGAGGCCTGCCTCTCAAAGAAGTGCTGGAGCACGTGGTTCCTGAGCTCAATGTCCAGTGCCTGCGGTTGGCCTTCAACACACCCAAGGTCACAGAGCAGCTCATGAAACTGGATGAACAAGGGGTGAGTTTGCCTTTCTGAGGAGAGCATTCTTGCTCAGGTTTATTGCTAGGCTTCCGGAATACAGACCTTAATGTTTCTTGTTTTGATGGAGATAATTGATACTTTTTATTGTGAAAGACACTCTCTTTGCAATTACTCATTTTGTTTTTTCTTAACTCTGAACTCTGAACATTTCTCATCTGATGAAATTCTGCATGTCAGAATTTATAAATAAGGCACTTTAAACTACGTTAAATTCTTTTGATAATCTTCCATATGTACGGTAAGTTTTTCGAGTGTCCAAGAATAAATAATAGCAGTAATCATAATAATGTTGTGTTAATGACAATACAGTAATAACAGTAATTAATAATAATGAGCATATTTGCAAGCCCCTTTTCTAAGTGCCTTAAATATGTTATCTCATTTAATCTCCCTACACTGTGAGAAAGGTACTATTATTATTCACATTTTAGAGAGAAGGATTCTGGGACACAGAGAGATTAAGTAATAAATCCAATTTCACACAGTTAGTAAGTTTTGGAACCAGGGTGCAAACATAGTCTGCCTCAAAGTCTGTGCCACTTCACCGCGCTGTTCTTAAAAGCTTAGAGTTTCAAAGTCTATTAGTACCACCAAAGATATATTCTAGCCAAGATTTTTAAATATAAAAATGTAAAATTTCACATTCTGCTTAGAGTAATTTGAGCATATGGGCCAATTTTATAGATAATATATTTATATACTCTTACTTTAATTCTTTCTTTTAGCATTTTAGCCATATTGCATCCTAGTAGTGGGTGGTAGTAGTTTTAACATTACATTTAAAAATTACTCCAAAAATAAAATTGGTTCAGGTAGTTTATTTATTTTTTTTCCCCATTATGTTCATTTTTCACAGAAGGGTCCAGCTATTGAATGTCATTTTGTGACCAGATTTGGATAGGATTTCCTTAATCAAAAATTCAAATTTTATTAAAATGAATGAGAGTCCAAAAAATCAGTTTTAAGGTATATTTATTGTTTTAATTCAGCCACTGAGAATATATAATGAAGCAATAGTTAGATGTCTCTTTTCTCTCTTCTCTTTTTTTTTTTTTTTCTGGAGACAGTTTCACTCTGTCACCCAGGCGGAGTGCAGTGGCGCAATCTCAGCTCACTGCAACCTCTGCCTCCCAGGTTCAAGCGATTCTGTTGCCTCAGCCTCTCGAGTAGCTGGGATTACAGGCATGCGCCACTGCGCCTGGCCAGGTGTCTCTTTTCTAATCTTTGCCTTTTTCTATCCATTTCACTTTTCATAATGCACAGCTAATATCTATTTGACACATACATCTGAAGAATGCTGTGAGTATCCATGTTCATAATGTGAAAATTTGTTGCCCTTTGAATTCTTCAAAAGACTACTGACATATAAACGTAACTATTTTGGAGGCTGTTTTCCAGTAATATTCTGAACATTTATTCTAACAAAGGAGTAGAAAAATGATGTTTAGGTCCAACTTTATTGATTCGGTCATTTCTACTACTGTGTTTATCAAGGAGAATAAAAACATTTAGACATTGATAATATAGTCATATACTTAACATTTGAAATTTCTATTAAAACAGATTATTTTATGTAAAGGAGATAGTTATTGCCATTTTCTTTTGTTTTAACTATATTAAATAAAAATGGATACTCTACTTGTAGACATTATGGGGATTTCTGACACATTTTATGTCCTCTGTTAGTGATGCCAAGTGCTGGATCACAGACGGTGCTGATCTGTGATAAATATTTTATAGTCCTATCCACATGGGAAAGATAAGAACACTATAAAGAGTTGAACTCAAAGTTTATTTAATTCACAAAACTGGCCATTATTTTGAAATTATGGCCTTCCTATTCTTGGAAGCATTAAAATGTCCCTTCCTTCATAAATTATTAATCATAATATATGATAGTTGTTTTCTTTAATATCTTTACTAGGCAAAATTAAAATTTGGCAATCAGTCAGTCTCTTCAATTTTACTTTGAAAGTAAGTGCCTTAAATATGTCATCCCGTTCAACAGGAGTATTACTATTAGACAGTAGTTTTTTACTAGACAGTGGAATCTAGAGGTTCAAAGCATGCTATTCTATATGAACAGCTCCATGTCTGGACTAAAGAGCACCGGGGGTTAGCCTCTGTCTTTTTTTTATCTCCATACATACAGCATTCAAAGCCTGGATTGTACTGAGATAAAGCAGACGACATGCATACTTAGGCTTTTAGTCTTGGGAGTAATTTTTTTGGTAGGAAATCTCATTAATGCCTTGGAATTATTTTGAGAAACTGATTATTTTGGTGCCTTTACAAATACAGATTTTAAAAAGGAAATGCTTATAAGTGCAGTGGATTATGCATATGAATCATTGCAAAGCATTTTTAGTTTCCATCTGTGTCGTCATATTTTAAAATTTCCAGCTTTGTGTGTCGTTATATTTAAAGAGATTCATAGTGTGATACAAGGAAACTGGACTCATCAGAAGGAGCTTTAAATCTCTTTTTATATTTGGTTTAAATGATTCTTTTAATATATTTTATGTTTTTATTAACTGTCTTACATAACCATGCTTTGTAAAAGAAGACACAATTTATTTCCTATATTGTGGCATTTTGCCTTTCAAATCTTTGGTGCTTTAATTCCTCATTTTACCACTATCAAAAGCTAAAGTGAACAGAAAAATTAAAATTTTATCTATTAAATATAAAAGAAAGCACTGCACAAAAATCTAATAATTTTTTTATTTAACTTGACAGTGATATATATGTGGGAGCTGAAGTATGCATTTCAATTCCTGAAGAAACTTATTTTAGAAAACGAACTAATTTTTTTAGCTTATCCAAGCTTTTACATTCTCCATCCTGATGCCTTTCTGGGACTTTCACTACTTTTTTTTTTTTTTTTTTTTTTTTTTTTTTTTTTTTTTTTTTTGAGACAGGGTCTCTGTTTCTGTTACCCAGGCTGGAGTGCAGTGGCGCGATCTCGGCTCACTGCAGCCTCTGCCTCCCGGGCTCAAGCAGTTCTTCCACCTCAGCTGGGATTACTGGGATGCACCACCACTCCTGGCTAATTTTTGCATATTTAGTAGAAATGGGGTTTCATCACATTGGCCAGGGTGGTCTCGAACTCCTGACATCAGGTGATCCACCCTCCTTGGCCTCCCAAAGTGCTGGAATTACAGATGTGAGCCACCACGCCCGCCTTTCACTACTTAGTGATGCCCATGTCAGTTGTTAAAATGGCAATGAGAAGACAAAACTAACCTCCTAATATTTTCACACCAATAAGAATTTATAACACTTGATGCTTTAGAAAATTTGTGTTCTTACTGTCAGGCACCTTGATCTTCACTTACAGTACAGTTGGGGGCATCTCATGATAAAAACAAATGAAATAAATACATATTTCATTTTACTATGTTCTAATCACTTTACTGGCATAATCTGATTTAATCCTCACAGCAACCCTGTGCAATAGATTCCAACTATTGGCCTATTTTACAGTCAAGGGGATTAAGGCATACAGAAATTCCCAGAGCTGTTTTTCTTACCTGTCATCCCTTAATAGCCCTGAGCACTGGATATAAATTTGCATAATACAGCTCTTCAATTTTAAGATTTCCAAGATCCCATTTACATATCTCGAATTACTTTCTTTTTAATTTCTTTTTTAAAAATCTGTCATCTTTATTTTTTTAATTTCTAACTAGGAATTCAGTGTAGAATATTGGAATATTCTGATGCTTAAAACTATGCTGTAGGCTGGGTGATGTGATTCACACCTATAATCCCAGCACTTTGGGAAGCTGAGGCAGGAGGATTGCTTGAGCCCAGGAGTTCGAGACCAGCCTGGGCAACATAATGAGACCCCCGTCTCTAAAAAAATAAATAATTTAAAAAACTACACTGTGAAGTATTAGGAATTTTGTTATTTAATCAAGTCAGCTTTTAAATAATGTAGAAAATTCAGATACTTTTAAATTTGCCATATCAGAGCCATTTTTCTTCAACAGTCATTTAAAAATACCTATATTTCATCTACTCTGTGCAAGGGGAATGAAAGATGATTATGTCAAGCCCTGGTTTAAGGCGTTCCCACATGTAAAGCACTTAGTACAGTGCTGAGCATGTGATAAAACGTTGAAGAAATAGGAGCTGTTGATAATAAGATAATAACTTGTTAGTAGCCCTTTACATACATTATCTCATTTAATCTTTATACATATCCTATGAGAGAGCTTCTGTTGTAGTTGATACATTATGCTCACTTTCACAAGTAAGCAGGACTGTTTCAAATCCAATAAATGCTTTTTAAGTATGACTCTGCAGGTTGTTAAATACTGTAGAGAACAAAATAGGCTAGTAAGACATAGTCCTTATCCATGAAGGAGACAGGGTCATAAATTACTGTAATGGATGTCAGGGTTAATATAATAAATCTAATAAGAGAATTGCAAACAAAGAGCATGGAGGTACAAGCCAGTGGGGACAAGTCATAATGGTTAACTGGATCAGAATGAGATGGGCCTTGGAGGGGAAGAAGATTTCATCAGGCCAGGGAATAAGCAGTTGGGTGGTCCATACTCAGAACAATAAGAACGAGACTCGGAAGGACAGAAGCACACAGTGCGTTCATGAGGCAGCAAGGAATCCCGCTGAGCAGGAGTGTGAGGCACATGTAAGGGAGTAATAAAAGTAGATGATTTTTTTTTTGAGACGGAGTCTCACTCTGTTGCCCAGGCTGGAATGCAGTGGTGCGATCTCGGCTCACTGCAAGCTCCACCTCCCAGGTTCACGCCATTCTCCTGCCTCAGCCTCCCAAGTAGCTGGGACTACAGGCACCCGCCACCACGCCCAGCTAAATTTTTGTATTTTTAGTAGAGACGGGGTTCCACCGTGTTAGCCAGGATAATCTCGATCTCCTGACCTCGTGGTCCGCCTGCCTCAGCCTCCCAAAGTGCTGGGATTACAGGCATGAGCCACTGCTCTTGGCCAAAAGTAGATGATTTTTATTGACAGTGACTAGGCCAGGCACTGTGTGAAACAGTTTCCATGAATTATTTTAATTAATCCTCAGAATGCTTTGATACTATTATTGTTCCTGTTTTATAGCTAAGAGCACTGAGACACAAAGACCAGTCACAATTAGAGTCTGTGCAGGCTGGTCTTGAATCCAGGCACTCAGACTCTAGAGCCTGCATTCTCAACCAGTACATCAGCCACCCTGTCCTCTTTTCCCTCCCCATGAATGGAAGAAGAAACTGGAATTATATTGCTGCAGACTTCAGTGCCCGGTATTCAGTGTAATATGTTAAACCCAAATAAAATTGGAATGGGTCTGGTTTATAAATATTTAAGGTACAGTTGCTAGTTTGCAGTAGAGAAAATTGGTAGTTCTGTTTTCATTAGGAAATGTCAGGTTTCATGTAAATGGTAGTGACTTTGCCTAAATGAATCTTCACTGTTTTTCTAGATTATTAAAAATGCAGTGAAATGAAAATATTTATTGAGTTTCAAATTTTAAGAAGTTATCCTTCAGGTTATTAAAGTCAGAGTAAGGGAGAAAGTGATCATATTTAATTTAACTCTGCAATAAATATCTCAAGAATGGATATAAGGAAATGAGCAATGTTTATGTGGTAATGAATAGCACTGACCCTTTGATTAAGGACATGAATGAAATTCTCTGCTGACTTCGCCTATTCATTGCCTTGCTGCGTTATTTTATTGTGAGGATAAATGAGTTTGACTAGCCATTTTCTCTTTGATTCAGGCAGCTAGTTTTGAAAAATGATCCATAGGGGAAATATTTTTTCCAAAACTGATTTTCTCTAAATGAAGCTTTGGCAGAACAATTGCCATTCCTAGAATTTTAATCGTCTCTTAGATTATGATATTAGCTAATGCATGTTTAGAGTTCAGATGGCTACCAAATTGATTCCAGACAACTGGTGGATCCGTATGTACATTTTCAGGAAGGAGATATCCACCATGGCCATCTAGTCAGGGGAAGAAATCAGTGGCATCTGTAGCTTTGTCTTGTGTGTTCACAAGTAGTGATCACCCTGTGCTGGCCTATCGCTGTTCTTTTGCCTGGCTGAGGCTGGATTGGATGACAGGATAGAGTCCCTTCCAATGAGAAGATTTTGTGATTAATGGGACTGATAGCATTAGCATTTGGAAGACATGCGGCTGTGGTAGGACTGCAGTTTGCAGTGAGAGAACACAGCAAGACTAAGATCACACGTGAGGACTTGGATCACGATTCAGAAGGATGCAGGAACTGGTGGCAAACATTTGTCTTCTGGATTTTGAATTGTGGATTGTGTTTTAAATTCAGCTTTAAAATAAAAGTTAAACCAATTTCTTTCCTATAGGATTTATCTAAACTAGGCAATAGTTTCAAATGGTCCCAAAATCAAAGCAGTATGACTATGTTTACATTCAGGGGTTCCATTTCTACCTGTTCCTATGACCCTTTTCTCCCCTGCCTTGTAGTTAATCACCTTATTAACTACAAGGTGTAGTATTTCTGTTTCATTATGCAGTTTCTGTATTTCTGTTTCATTATGCAGATACCACCAAATATGCATATGCAGCTTTATTTCACCCCTTTCTTTTATATATTATATATATACATATATATATACTTTAAGTTCTAGGGTACATGTGCACAACATGAAGGTTTGTTACATAGGTATACATGTGCCATGTTGGTTTGCTGCACCTATCAACTTGTCATTTATACTAGGCATTTCTCCCAATGCTATCCCTCCCCCAGCCCCCCAGCCCCTGACAGGCCTGTGTGTGATGTTCCCCACCTTGTGTCCATGTGTTCTCATTGTTCAGTTCCCACCTATGAGTGAGAACATGCAGTGTTTGGTTTTCTGTCCTTGTGATAGTTTGCTGAGAATTATGGTTTCCAGCTTCATCCATGTCCCTGAAAAGGACATGAACTCATCCTTTTTTATGGCTGCATAGTATTCCATGCATTTCACCCCTTTCTTATACAAGATATAACAGGCTGTAGACACTTGCTTTTTTCATTTAGGAATATATTTTTGAGATTTTTTTCGTCAGTACATAGAAAGGTTTCCCAGTATTTTTACTACTGCATAGTAGCATAGTATTTTGTTGTACTGCTGTGCCATAGTTTATTTCATCAGTTTCTCTATTGATGGGCATGTATGTGTAGATTTAAGTCCTTTTCTCTTACAAACAGTACTGCAATGAAGACTTTTTCTGTAGAATTGAAATTCATCTCAATGTCAAAAAAATCAGGTACCTTTATTATCAACTTAATACCCAATATGAAACTTTTTATCTTTGTGAGAAATTTTGCACAATAACATTATTAGGTAAAATTATTGTGTGTGGATTATTTCCTTTACATTATGCCAAAGATAAAAATAGGTTAGAATATGTCTGTGTACTTATATATAAATAATTTTGAAAGCATCTGTCAGGTTTTTTCTTTTTACAACTTTACTATTTAGTATCCATATGTCATTTTTTTAAAACAGTTGGATTTTTGTTAGTAATTCCCAATGAGGATATACATTTTCTAACTGGCATTTTTTGCTCTCAATACGGAATTTTTCCAGTTTCTTTGTCATTCTTTTTGGAGGACAGTATAGAAATTTATCTTCAGGAAGTAGTTAAGAGAGTTATGTATATGAAGAACAAATCAAAGCAAATAATGTGAATTAGAACAATTTTTTTTGTTTTATTTTAATGACCAAGGTCTTTACTTTCAGTAATGGCAAAGTTGCTTATTGCAGACCGGCCCATCCATTGAGAATAACCAGGAAAATTGAACAAAATATTTTTAAAACTAAGTTTGGACTCTGGATTCTGGAAAGATGGAGTAGATGTATTTCTCTGCGTTCTTCCTGCTAGGTACAGCCAACAACCTTGGACACATATATAAAACAAACATAAAATGAATCTGAAAGGTGGAGAGAAGCAGCAGGCTGGTTAGGGACCTTGAGATCTCTGGAATGGCATAGCTGTGAGGTCCCTGGGTTTTCTCTTTGCTCATATATCCCAGTCTTGGGCTGAAGAAGTCAGCAAACTGGAAATGCCTATAGGCACAGCCAAAATGTCCCCCAAATGTCTGTTCTTTTTAGCAAAAGGACCAAAAAAAACAAACTTAGAAAACTTTAAAACAGGAATCTCTCTACTCCAACTGCACAGTACAAAAAGAAGCTAACAACAACAACAACAAAAAACCCACAGCCTTCCCTCCTCCCTAATCCTTGCTGAGGCATTGTTAGAGAAGGCTAAGTGAGGAACTGGAACTTTCATCACGGTGGAGTGGTAATGAAGTGCCCCTCCAGCTCCCCACTGTGTGGCATCAGAAGAGGCCTGGTGGAGAGTCAGGACATTTTTGCACACCCAGCAATAACGGGGTCTTCTTACCAAAGTGTCAGTGAAAGCCACGTGGGGAGTAGTAATCATGCATGCCTGATACCAACCAGGGCAGTATCAGGAGAGACTCAGCAGGGAGCTGGAATTGTTGCCACTGCCTAGCAATACAGAGGTGTTGCTTTCCCTTAGGTGTCATGGAGGGAACTTGATGTTCAACCCCACCTAGCAGTGTCATTTTTTCCATACCAGAATGGTAATAAAGAAGGCCTGCTAAATAGAGGATTTAAATAAGATCCAGAGTCTCGTAAGTTAATATCCAAAATGTCCAAAATTGAATTTAAAATCACTGCTTATACCAACAATTGGGAAAATCTCAACTTAAGGGAAAATTTGATCAACACATGCCAACACTAAGATGACACAGTTGTTAGAATTATCTAACAATGATTTTCTGACAGCCATCATGAAAATGTTTCAATGAGCAATTACAAGCATGATTGTTATGTTATGTTATGTTATGTTATGTTATGTTATGTTATGTTATGTTCTGTTCTGTTCTGTTCTTTGGAGATGGGGCCTCACTCTGTCGCCAGGCTGCAGTGCAGTGGCTTGATTTCGGCTCACTGCAACCTCCACCCTCCGGGTTCAAGCGATTCTCTTGCCTCAGCCTCCTGAGTAATGTGTGTATTTTTAGTATTTTTGTATTTTTATTAGAGACGCCCAGCTAATTTTTGTATTTTTAGTAGAGACGGGGTTTCACCATGTTGGCTAGGATGGTCTCGATCTCTTGACCTCATGATCCTCCTGCCTAGGCTTCCCAAAGTGCTGGGATTACAGGCGTGAGCCACAGCACCCAGCCACAAGCATGATTTTTAAAAATGAAAAAATAGAAAGTCTTAGCAAAAAATTGAAGGTATTAAGGAACAAATGGAAATGTTAGAACTGAAAAATAGAACAGTCAAAATGTAAAACTCAGTAGATAGGTTTTTAGGATGCTAGTGGACCCTGAATATGGGCCATTAGCAGTCTACCAAAAATTATAAATTCTGAAATGTAAGGTACTTCAATGGGCTAGACACCCTAGAAGCCCCTGTCCCCAGAGACAAAATGGAAGGGACAGAGGAAAAAATCAGTGAACTTGAAGATAAAACAAATAGGAATCACCAAATCTGAGCAACAAAGAGTAGACTGGGGGAAACAAATGAACAGAGCTTCACGGTTTGTGGGGCTATAATAAAATATTTAACAATTGTGTCTTGGAAGAAGAGGAGAAAGATGGCAGGCCTTGAAAAAGTATTCAAAGAAATATTTGGTAAGAAGTTTCCCAAATTTGGTCAAAGGTGTAAACCCACACATGACAGAAACTGAGCAAATCCCAAACAGTATAAATCCAAAGAAGTCCACAGCAAGAGACATCATAGTAAAATTTTTGAACACTAAATACAAAAAAAAAAAAAACTTGAAAGAAGCAAAAGATAAATGACATGTTACCTATAAGGGAAGAACGGCTGGGCACGGTGGCTCATGCCTGTAATCCCAGCACTTTGGGAGGCAGAGGCAGGTGGATCACCTGAGGTTGGGAGTTTGAGACCAGACTGCCCAACATGGCGAAACCCTGTGTCTACTAAAAATACAAAAAATCAGCTGGGCATGGTGGCGGGCACCTGTAATCCCAGCTACTCGGGAGGCTGAGGCAGGAGAATTGCTTGAACCCAGGAGACGGAGGTTGTAGTGAGCCAAGATCACGCCACTGCACTCCAGCCTGGGTGACAAGAACAAAACTCCATTTCAAAAAAAAAAAAAAAACCCACCTATAAGGGAAGAACAATTTGAATCACAGATTTTTTTTTTTTATCAGAAATCATGGAGGCCAGAAGGAAGTGGCATGATAATTTTTCAGGAGATGGAAGAAAAGAACTGTCAACCCAGAATTCTGTGTTCAGGGAGAATATCCTTCAGGAATGAAATTGAGACATTCTCAGATAAAGGAAAATTAAGAGAACTTGTTACCAGGAAACCTACCCTTAAAAAGTAGCTAAGTTGGCCGGGCGCGGTGGCTCACGTCTGTAATCCCAGCACTTTGGGAGGCTTAGGAGGGTGGATCACAAGGTCAGGAGATCAAGACCATCCTGGCTAACATGGTGAAACCCCATCTCTACTAAAAATACAAAAAATTAGCCAGGCGTGGTGGCAGGAGCCTGTAGTCCCAGCTACTCAGGAGGCTGAGGCAGGAGAATGGTGGGTACCTGGGAGGCGGAGCTTGCAGTGAGCAGAGATCGTGCCACTGCACTCCAGCCTGGGCAACAGAGTGAGACTCCGTCTCAAAAAAAAAAAAATAGCTAAGTTATCTAAACAGAAAGGAAGTGATAAAAGAATGGATCTTGGGAGGGCACGGTGGCTCACACCTGTAATCCCAGCACTTTGAGAGGCCGAGGCGGGTGGGTCACCTGACATCAGGAGTTCGAGACCAGCCTGCCTAACATGGTGAAACCCCGTCTCTACTAAAAATACAAAAAATTAGCCAGGTGTGATGGTGGGTGCCTATAATCCCAGGTACTCGGGAGGCTGAGGCAAGATAATCACTTGAACCCAGGAGGTGGACATTGCAGTAAGCTGAGATCACGCCATTGCACTCCAGCCTGGGCAACAAAAGCGAAACTCCATCTCAAAACAAACAAACAAACAGAAAAAAAGGGATCTTGGAACTTCAGAGAGAAGGAAAGAGTAAAAATATGGGTAAATACTTTTCTTAATGAGTTTTCTAAATTATTTTGCCATTTGAAGCAAATGCTATAACAATGTCAAATGTGCTTTTCAAACATATGTACAAGAATTTTTTAATGTAAGTGTTTTATAAATGGCAGAGAGTAAAGAGACTAAAGAGAGGTAAAGTTTCTACACTTCGCTTCAATTGGTAAAACGGTGCATGTAGATATCAACTACATAGATAAAGATATATATAGTAATACATAGAGCAATCACTAATAATACTTAAGTTCTAAGAGATACATTCAAAAGCCCTATAGATAAATCAGAAAAGAATTCTAAAGAGCACTCAAGTAATTCTCAGAAAGATAAAATAAATGAAAGATAAAATGACAGACTTAAACTCTAATGCAGAAATTAGTTCATTAAAAGCAAAAGATCTAAATATACCAATTAAAGGACAGAGATTGGTAGACTGGATTTTAAAAAGCATTATCTAATTATATAAACTATAGAGTTACTTGAAATATAAGTAGTTGAAAGGAAAGAATGGAAAAAGACCATGCAAACATGAATCAAAGGAAAGCTATAGGGCTTAGTAATGTCAGGTAAAGTAAACTTCAGAGCAAAGAAAGTTAACAGAGACAGAGAGGATCATTGCATAATGATGAAGAGGTCAATCCACCAAGAAGACAGCAATCCTAGGTATATGTGCATCAAACAGAGCTGTAAATGTGAAGGAAAAAAACTGATGAAACTAAAAGGAGAAATAGGTAAATACACAATTATAGTTGGTGATTTTAACATCTCTCCTTCAACAATGGAAAGGAAAACTAGACAGAAAATCAGCAAAGACATAGAACTTCACAACATCAACCAATAGGATCTAATTGACATAAAGCACTTTACTCACAACAGCAGAATACATGTTCTTTTCAGTTGCACATGGAATGTATGCCAAGATAGACATCCTGTCCCATGAAATAAACATCCTCAAATTTAAAAGAAGTGAAATAACAAAAAGTATATTTTCTAATCAAACTGGAATCAAACTAGAAATAACAGAAACATAATGGAAAAATCTCTAAGCACTTGGAAACTAAAAAAACAGATTTCTAAGTAACCAGTAGGTCAAAGAAAACACTTCAAGGGAAATGAAAAAATGTATGTAAACTGAATGGAAAGGAAAAGACAACATATGAAACTTTGTGGGATGCAATTAAAGCAGGCTGAGGGGGAAATTGACAGTATGAAATGCTGCGTTAGAAAAGACAAAACATCTCAAACCAGTAATCTAAGCTCATAACCTTATATGACTAGAAAGAGAAGAGCAAAATAAATCCAAAGCAACTAGAAAGAAGGAAATGGTATAGATCAGAAATCAATGAAATTAAAAATAGAAAAACATTTGAGGAAATTAATGAAATGAAAGGCTAGATCTGGCCAGGCGAGGTGGCTCACGCCTATAATCCCAACACTTTGGGAGGCCGAGGTGGGCAGATCACTTGCGATCAGGTGAGTGGATCACTTGAGACCAGCCTGGCCAACATGGTGAAACCACGACTCTACTAAACATACAAAAATTAGCCGGGCATGGTGGTGCATGCCTGTAATCTCAGCTACTCAAGAGGCTGAGGCAGGAGAATTATTTGAACCCGGGAGGCAGGGGTCGCAGTGAGCTGAGATGGCGCCACTGCACTCCAGCCTGAGTGACAGAATGAGACTCCATCTTTAAAAAAAAAAAAAAAACAGCTACATCTTTGGGGTTTAAAAAAAAATTTTTTTTTTTTCATAAAACCCAGATCCTGTGTGTGCACGCGTGCACACACACACACACACGCTAGATCTTTGAAAAGATGATAAAATTGAAAATCCTCTAACAAGACTGACAAAGAAAAACAGACAATACAAATCTTGTCAACACGGTAGTCCCTCAGTATTCATGGTTTCGCTTTCTGCAGTCAACTGTGCTCTAAAAATAGGAGAGTACAATACAATAAGATATTTTGAGAGAGAGAGAGTACATTGTACATTCACTTAACTTTTATTACATTGTATTGTCATAATCGTTCTATTTTATAACTAGTTGTTAATTTCTTACTATGTCTGATTTATAAATTAAACTTTATCGAGTTGGGCGCAGTGACACACCTATAATCTCAGCAACTCAGGAGGCTGAGGTGGGAGGATCATTTGAGGCCAGAAGGTCAGCATTAGCCTGGGCAACATAGTGAGACACTGTCTCTACAAAAAATTTAAAAAAAAAGTATCCAGGCTTGGTGGCTCATGTCTGTAGTTAAGAGGCTGAATCAGGAGGATCAATTAAGTCCAGAAGTTGGAGGCTTCAGTGAACCATGGTCAAGCCACTGTACTCCAGCCTGGTTGACAGAGTGAGACTCTTAAAAAAAAAAAAATAAGAACTTTATCATAGATTTTTAGGTAGAGGGAAAAACATGGTATATAGTTATATAGGGTTCGGTACTATCCATGGTTTCAGGCATCCACTGAAGGTCTTGGAACATATCCCTCATGAATACAGGGGTACTACTCTATCAGGAATGAAATTAGATATTACCACCAACGCCCCCAATAGCAACAATGTATTAAAGAAATACTGTATACAGCTGAATACATACAATTTTGACAAGATGAAATGGGAGAACTCCTCAGAAAACAGTCACAACTCAGCTAACTGAAACAGAATATTTGAATAGCCCTATGATTATTGAAAAAAATTGAATTCATAATTTTAAAACTCCAAAAATGAAATCTACTGGGCCAGATGGTTTTCCTGGGAAGTCTACCTAACATTTAAAGAATTATCACCAGTTCTGCACAATTGCTTCCAGAAAATACAAGATAAGAAACATTTTAAATTTAACTTTATGAAGCCCTAATACCAAAGCCAGACAAAGGTAGGAAAAAAGAAAACTACTGACCACATCCCTCATGAATATACATGTAAAATTCCTTGAAAAAAAAATTAGCAAATATAATAAAGTAGAAAAAAATTTTGTAGACCATGACCTAGTTGGATTTATTCTAGAGATGCAAGGCTGATTCAGTATTGAAAAATCAATTAATGTAGCCCATCGTACTAACAGACTAAAGAAGAAAAATCACGTGGTAATATCAATTGGTGCAGAAAAAGCATTTGATAAAATTTGAACTTATTTATGATAAAAACTAGTAATACAGAGGAACTTTCTCAGCTTGATGAAGAACATCTACAAAACTTCTATAGCTTGCATTATTCTTAATGGTAAGAGACTGGAGAAAGGGAAGGATATGTGCTGTTAACACTGCTATTCAACATAGTACAAGAAGTTCTAGTCAGTGCAGTAAGGCAAGTAAAAGAAAAGGCATGTAGACGCAGCAGTGGAAAAATAAAACTCCCTATTTCAGATGACATGCTGGTCTGTTTGCAAAACCCTAAGGAATCTATAGATAAACAACCTGGAACTGCAAAATGTGTTTAGCAAGCTTGTATGATTCAACATCAACTTACAAAAATCAGTTAGATTTCTTTCAGTGAATATGTGGACACTGAAATTAAAATACACCATTTGCAATCCCTAAACAAACAAACAAAACTTGGAGCCAAACATGATAGCCTGTGCCTATAATCCCAGATAGTCAGGAAGCAGAAAGATCACTTGAACCTAGGAGTTCAAGACAAGCCCAGGCAACACAGTGAGATGTCATCTAAAAACATAAACAAAAGCTTGGGCATGCATCTAACAAAACATGAATAGGACTTGTATTTTGAAAACTACAAAACCCTGATGAACGAATCAAAACCCTAATGTTGGGCATGATGGCTCACTTCTGTAATCCTAGCGTTTTGAGAGGCCAAGGAAGGAGGATTGCTTGAATCCAATAGTTCAAGGCCAGCCTGGGCAACATAGTGAGATCCTGTTTCTGCAAAAAAATTTTAAAAATTTAACCAGGCATGGTGGTGTGCATTTGTAGCTCCAACTACTCAGGAGGCTAAGGCAGGAGGATCGCTTGAGCCCAGGATTTCAAGGCTGCCATGAGCTATGATCATCCTGCTACACTCTAGCCTGGGTGACAGATTAAGTCCTGTCTCTAAGAAACCAAAGACCTAAATAAATGGAGAGGCATACTATATTCACAAATTGAGAGCGTTAACATATATTAATCATGTCAGTGTTCTCCAAACTGATACAAAGTTTAACTTCTTAATTTTTATCAAAATTCCGCCAAGGTTTTTTTGTGGTTATAGACAAGATTATTCTAAAGTTTACATGAAAAAACAAAGGAACTGGAATACCTAAAACAATCTGAGAAAGAGGAATTAATGTGGGAGAAGTTATTCTGTCTGATTTCAAGACATGTTATATAGCTCCAGTAGTCAAGACTGTGTGGCATTGCTGGAAAGATAGACATGTGGATCGGTGGAACAGAATAGAGAAACCAGAAATAGCCCCACACAAATATATCTAGCTCATTTTTGGCATAGGTGTAAAAGTAATTCAGTGGAGGAAGGATAGGCTTTTCCAACAGTACTGGGACAACTGGACATCCATAAACAAAATAATGAACCTTGACTTTTTGGGTTTTTTTGTTTTTTTGTTTTTTTGAGACTGAGTCTTGCTCTGTTGCCCAGGCTGGAGTGCAGTGGCATGATCTTGGCTTACTGCAACCTCCGCCTCCCAGATTCAAGCAATTCTCGTGCCTCAGTCTCCCGAGTAGCTGGAATTACAGGTGCATACCACCACACCCGGCTAATTTTTGTATTTTTAGTAGAGACGGGGTTTCACCATGTTGGCCAAGCTGGTCTCAAACTCCTGATCTCAAGTGATCTGCCCACCTCAGCCTCCCAAAGTGCTGGGATTACAGGTGTGAGCCACCAGGCCCCCGGCCTAAACCTTGACTTTTAAGCATCAACAATTAATTCAAATGGATCATAGATTGAAATCTACAAGTATTAAATTTTTTTGAGAAAAACATAGGAGAAAATCTTTGGGACCTTCAGCTTGGTTAAGAATTCTTAGATGTGGCACCAAGAGCTTGATCTAGAAAGAAAAAAAAAATTTGAGAAATTGTAGTCTATCAAGATTAACAATATCTTACAGTGCTTTTTCTCTTAGACATTTGCTGATAGGTTAAGAATCTTGGGGCTTTTCCATCTAGCATAAAGCAGCAGATAAAAAGTTAGGAGACAGATCAGAGCTTTCAGTGATCAGATCAAATCAGAGCTTGTATAGGGCTTTGGAGGTTACAAATTGAATTCAAGGCTTACTAGAGAACTCAAATCTGTAAAACAATTATATTGAAATTCATTTTTTTTCTTCTTCTTTGAGACGGAGTCTCACACTATTGCCCAGGCTGGAGTGCAGTGGTGCAGTCTTGGCTCACTGCAACCTCCGCCTCCTGAGTTTAAGTGATTCTTGTGCCTCAGCCTCCCGCAGAGCTGGGATTACAAGTGTGTGCCCCTACGCCCGGCTAACTTTTGTATTTTTAGTAGAAACGGGGTTTCACTGTGTTGGCCAAGCTGGTCTCGAACTCCTGACCTCAAGTGATCCACCTGCCTTGGCCTTCCAAAGTGCTGGGATTACAGGCATGAGCCACCACACCCAGCCTATATTGAAACTCTAAAACTAAAAAACCCCTAAAGTTAGACTCATTTAAAAGTAGATATGTTTAAGAACATACTGGACACAGTAGGAGAGAGAACTGATGAAGACAGATTACCAGAAAAATTTTAACTAAAGAACGGAGACAAGAAAACATAGAAAAATACAGAAAAATGTCTGAAAGGCATGTGGGTAACAGCAAAATATATATATGATTGAATTTCCAGAAGAGAAGATATTTATGCATTATTTGGGAATAAAAGCAGTATTTGAGGAAATGCTGGTAGAGATTTCCAGAACTGATGAAAGACAAGCATTAAGATAAAAACAAGGAGTTCTGTCCACCCTAAACAAGATAATCTAAAAAAAAAAAAAAAATCAAATATAGGCTCATAGTAAAAATTGCTGAAAATAAAAGAAAAAGAGAAAAATCTTTAAAAATAGCCAGATGGAAAAATACCTTTAAAGAACAACAAGACTGTTAAACATTTGCTGGGCTATAAAGCCTAAAGAAAAAGTAGAGGCCGGGCGTGGTGGCTCATGCCTGTAATCCCAGCACTTTGGGAGGCCGAGGCGGGCAGATCACGAGGTCAGGAGATCGAGACCATCCTGGCTAATACAGTGAAGCCCCATCTCTACTAAAAACACAAAAAAATTAGCTGGGTGTGGTGGCAGGTTCCTGTAGTACCAGCTACTCTGGAGGCTGAGGCAGGAGAATGGTGTGAACCTGGGAGGCGGAGCTTGCAGTGAGCCGAGATGGAGCCACTGCACTCCAGCCTGGGTGATAGAGCGAGACTCCGTCTCAAAAACAAACAAAAAAAGTAGAAGGCAGAAGACATTTCTAAAGTGCTGAAAGAGTAACCCTCACAATGGATTTTACACCAAAAATTTTCTTTAAAATGTAGGCAAAACTAATTTATAGTAAAAAAAACAAAATTAGTACAGTGGTTGCCTGAAGCTGTTAGATGATGCAGGGATGGACTGCAAAGAGGAACCAGGAGCTATTGGGGTAATGGCAGTGTTCTGTATTTTGATTGTGTTGGGGGTTTGTCAGAAGTTATTAAATTATACGCCTTGCATTTACTCTTCAGAAATCATACATCAATAAAGTTGATTTAAAAACTGAAGGCAAATTTCTGCTTCTTGCTAAGATTAAGTAAGAGGGACTGCATTTAACTTTCCACCTGAAACAACTTAAAAACTAGACAAAACAATGAAACAATGGTTTTTATAATGTTGGACATCAGGCATTGAAGGACATTGATTGCTTGGGAGATGGGAAACAAATGAGGTGAACCCTAAGATTGCACCAGCTTTCTGCCTGAAGAGAGTTTCCAGGCTACAGTACAGGCAGGGGGTACCCAGTTAAAGGCCAGAAGCCTCCCTGATTGAGATTGAGATGTGAGTCCAGGGAGGCTAGAATTCGCAGAGCACAGAGAATCAGGGAGGAGAGAGCCGTAAACAGTCTACCTCTGGTGCGAATAGTTTCAACTCCTACAAACCAGACTGGAAAACTTCATAATTGACATGGCATTGAGTAGAGCCTCACAATGCTTTTGCCTCAATAGTGGGGCAGAATTATCCTTAGACTAAACACTGCTGTCGTACAACCAAGAGTTTAAAAGCAAGAACTACAAGGCTCAAACTCTTGCCAAGTAATTTAACTATGAATCCAGAACAAAGTCAAAAATACTTTATAGGAATACAACAATATCCAGCACCCAACAAGGTAATATTCATAATGTCTGACAGTCAATCATTTAATTAAAAACTACAAGCAGGAGCATATGACCTATAGTTGGGGAGGGGATAAAATAATTAAACAATTAAAACCACAAAAATGACTCTGATGTCTTTTTAATGTTTAAGAAGCAGGAGGAAAGATTGAACATTAAGTAGAAATCTGGAAAAAGAAAAGCTTTGTATTTATGGATATGAAAGCTACAATATCTGAGTTGAAAAGTACACTGGACAGAATTAACAGCAGATTAGACATTGTCGAAGAAAGGATTAGTGAACTTGATGACATAGCAATAGAAACAATTGCCAAAAAAAAAAAAACAAAAAACCCAACATCAATATACTGTGAGACAACTTCACCTGACCTAATATTCATATAATTGGAGACCCCAGAGGAGTTAGGAACTACCTGAAAAAGTAGTTGAGGAAATAGTTCCAGATTTTCCACATATGATGCAAGCAGACCCAAGAAACTCAATGAGCCCTAAGAATAAGAAGCATGCAGAAAATGACACCAACAGATATCATAATCAAATTGTTTCAAACCCGTGATACAGAGAAACTCCTAACAGCAGCCAAAGGGAAAAATCTTGATTTTCAGAAGAAAGGTTATCAAAATAAACAATGAACATAGGAAAAGTTAGATGACTTTTTTAGTCGTTAGAGAAATCCAGAAGAAAGCATAGCAATACAGTTCTCAGATGTTTACGTCTCAGAGTCCCTTCACCCTTTTAAAAGTTAAAGATCCCAAAGAGCTTTTGTTCATAAGACTTTTTTGTGTGTTTACCACATTACAATCAAAACAAATTTTAAAATGTTATTTTTAAATAAAATGATTACATTTTACATGTTAATATAAGTAACATGTTTGTGAAAAAAGTTTTCTAAAATGAAAAACTAGTGCAAAGAAAGTATCGTTTTTGCAGATCTCTTTAATGTCTGGCTTAATAGAAGGCACTTGGACTCACATATGTGCATCTGCTGTCAGTCTGCTGCAATATGTTGTTTTGGTTGGAGTAAATGAAGAAAATCTGTCCTCACAGAGTTTATGTACTTGGAGAAAGAAGGACTTTCATACGGCCTTTTCAGATAATTGTGGATATTTTCCTTTGATATAACACCAAAACTCAACAAGTGGTAGTTTTTGTGTGTGTGTTTTTTTCTTTTGAAATGGAGTCTCACTCTGTCGCCCAGGCTGGAGTGCAGTGGCACGATCTTGGCTCACTGCAACCTCTGCCTCCCAGGTTCAAGCAATTCTCATGCCTCAGCCTCCTAAGTAGCTGGGATTACAGGCGCCCACCACCACGCCCAGCTAAATTTTGTATTTTTAGTAGAGACGGGATTTCACCATGTTAGTCAGGCTGGTCTCAAACTCCTGACCTTGTGATTTGCACACCTCGGCCTCCCAAAGTGCTGGGATGACAGGCGTGAGCCACCATGCCTGGCCAACAAATGGTAGTTTCTTAAAGGTTGATAGCTATGTGGAATCTGAAATCATGAGTTAATCTGAAATCATTCTGTTAAATGAAAAATTCATTGACTTTCATGCACTTTGAATGAATCTTTCTTTTCCTTTTTCTTTAATTTTTTTTGAGACAGGGTTGCACTCTATTGCCCAGGCTGGAGTGCAGTGGCACAATCATGTAATCATGGCTCACTATAGCCTTGCCCTCTTGGGCTTAAGCCATCCTCCCACCTTAGCTTCCAAATCCTGGGACTGCAAGCCCATGCCACCATACCCACCTGATTTTTTAATTTTACAGAGACAGGGTCTCACTGTGTTGCTCTGGCTGGTCTTGAACTCCTGGCCTCAAGTGATCCTCCCACCTTGGCCTCCCAAAGTGCTAGGATTACAGGCATGAACCACCATGCCTGGCCTTGAATGAATCTTTTATTCATGCATGATTTTGTAATTTCATACAGCAGTCATTTGGAAAAATTGGTTCTCTTATGGAGATTTTATAAGTGTTTGTTTAGTTTACAATAATGAAAATATTCCATTGATCTTATTAGAAAAAGAGTTAAGTGTTGGGAAACCCTTAGGCTCATGGTGATAGGTGTAAGTTTCCAAAAATTTAAATTTTGCTTTAGAGCTTAAATTCTATTATGTCAGGAAATACTGTGAGTTGTTTTTCCTGAAGTAACAGGCTCCCCTTTATATTTTCAAGACAATATCTCCCAAATACACAAGCCTGAATGACTATAGTTTGTCTCTTGTTTGTTCTTTCATATGAAAATAGTGATTTTAGTTAGGTTTTTATTGCTGCTGTAACAAATTACTCCTACTCAGTGCCTTAAAACAACATAGATTTGTTATTTTACAGTTCTGTAAGTTAAAAATTAAATATTGGTGTCACTGGGCTAAAATCAAACTGTGTCCTTTCCGGGGGCTCTAAGGGTGAATCTGTGTTTGGCCTTTTCAACTTCTGGTGGCTGCCCGTGCACCTTGGCTCATGGCCCTTCCTCCATCTCCAAAGCCAGCAGTGTTGCCTCCCTTTGACCCTGCCTCCATTGTCTTTTCTCTTTTGTCTCCGTTGTCTTTTTCTGATGATCATCTTGTCTTCCTCTTCCACTTTTAAGGACCTTTCAGTTATTGGGCCCATCTGGATAATCCTGGCTACTCTCCCCATCTGTTAATTGGCAATCTTAAGTCCTTCTATAATCTATGCTCCCCTTTACCATTAACATTACGTATTCACAGGATCTAGGGATTAGGAAGTAGGTGGGTTTGAGGAGAAATTACTCTGCCTGCCAGTCTTCTATGAAAAAGACACAAAGTTCATCTTGCAACTCAGTTGAACAAGTGCTTTTCCTTGAGAAAGCTATCATAAAGCACTTTAGTAGGCAACAGATGCTTTATATATACGCTGCATTTCATCACATGGAATATTAAAAAGCATATACTCAAGTGTCTAGATTTAATACAAGTTAATATTTTACTGCTTCATCAAGGACATTCTTAACTGGGTTTTTATTTGGGGAAGGGGTGAGTGTATAGCGGAGAAAAAGAATGCAAGGAGTGCTGGTATAGTTTGGAGCCACTGCTTGATTCATGCAAAAGTGCCAGCAGTTTGACTCACCATGAGTGCATATGTCCGTGGAAAATACCAGATTGACTCTTAATAGTGTTTTGAAGATAGTTTTGATGTCATGATCCATCACTCCCCACAAGAAGGTTCTCAGAGATGCTCAAGAGTTCACAGTCCACACTTCAAGAACTGTTGCACAATGAAATACCTCATAGTGACTATTTTAAATTTCTAAATTTAATTAGGCAATAGTAGAGGTTTCATAAGAATGTAAGAATTGAGTTGTTCTCATCGTTTGTTCTACCCCAGTGGCCGCTTTCTGGCCATGATACCAGGGAAGATGAGGTAAAATGCAAAACTTCTGAAGAAGACTGAGAACTTGGTTATTCACATCTCTTTCTTCTGGTACAGGGCTGTGACTTTATCGTCCATCTTTCCAGGAAGTTATGGCTGTTTAAGTCAGATTGCACTGTCTGTTTCTTTCTTTCTACTTTTTTTTTTTTTTTTGAGACGGAGTCTTGCTCCGTCTCCCAGGCTGGAGTGCAGTGGCGCTATCTCGGCTCACTGCAAGCTCAGCCTCCCGGGTTCACGCCATTCTCCTGCCTCAGCCTCCCGAGTAGCTGGGACTACAGGTGCCCGCCACCACGCCCGGCTAATTTTTTGTATTTTTAGTAGAGACGGGGTTTCACCGTGTTAGTCAGGATGCTCTCAATCTCCTGACCTCATGAGCCACCCGCCTCGGCCTCCCAAAGTGCTGGGATTACAGGCGTGAGCCTGCAGTGTCTGTTTCTTAACTCTGTGTTAAAGTGCCTATTGTATGAGAGGAAGAGCAAATTTATGTACTGTTGTTTCCCAGCTGTGGAAGCTCACAACACTTTTAGTAAGTGTTGAAAGACCCCTTTACTTTGTTGAGATTTAAGACCTTCATCTCAAATATAGCCCTTGTCCCATTGGACTGACCACCATCACTTTTGTATGTACAAACATTTATTGAGTGCCCAGCACTTCCCTCAGTGCTTCATATGAACAGCTGATCTGCAGGCATGAATTATGGTACCATTGCTAAATGACCCAGAGGTTATCCAAAGCAAAATGCTAAACTGTGGATAGGAGGGCTTCTGGTGTCATCATAACTCTATTTTGATCATTACCTTAAAGTATTGTATATGTAGATCCATAAGCCCACGTAGGTATGTTTGTGTGTTTCTGAGACAATAAATACTGTTTTATATAACCTCAAAGCAATCCAAAATCCCCACATCATGGCTTTACAACTCCATGTACATTAGCTCCTTCTCTTAGAATGTTCCTGATTACATTTACTTAACTTCTGCTTGTCAACATCTCATTCTATCTGGGAGCATGGCTGCTAAGGATTCTAGGAGCCTGAGTTCGGAGAATGCTACCTACCTTTGATCTAATTGGAGTAGAAATCAAGATACAGTCACATTGTCACCTTTGAGGATACAGCAAGTGATATTTGACACAGTTTCAAACCAGAGGAAACTTGACATTGTAAGGAATTTCCTAATCCTCTTAAAGGATCATTCCTTTCACAACTGGCAAAACCGGTTTGTTCTGTCAGCAGGTGGAGCTCACTAGGGTATAGAATTCAGTCAAAAGAGGCACATTGTCCTGTCCTTGAATTCTGCTTGTCCACTACTTTGGGGGATGTTTTCTTATCTTCTTTCTGCAGGAAACTTTTTTTTTTTTAATAAATGAATCTAAATAAATTAATCCTTTTGAGTGTTGCACAGTGAAATCTTAGGCCTCTATCTATGAAGTTTTAAATAGGCACCCACAAATTCAGTGTCGCTGTAATGCTTTCCATTAGTCAGGGTGAGTTTTGTTTTACCCTGTTGCAAGCGAAGGCTGTTCTGGAAGGCATAGCCAGACAGCATGTAACTTAAAGCCCCTTCCTGTCTACAGATTGCTTGATCTTTTTGTTCTCCCTGGAGGGAGAGAGTCAGGTAATGTTCAGCCCTGGAATCTGGCTGTATTAAGGACTTCTTTTGTAATAGACATCGAGACTATCTCTCCCTTTTTATTTGTTGAGACCTAATAGGGTACTTAGCTCAATTCTAAAGCCAAGATGAAACCTTTACCTGTGGGAGCGTTCCCTTCTAAGCATTAGCCACATTCAGCCATTAGAAGCAGGCCCGCTAAGAAAGGGGTTAAATGTCAGTAGTGTGCAGCAAGTTTTACCCTGATTTTTTTTTCTTATGTGTGCTATACAAAAATGAACTAAGTCCCGAATGTGTGCCTGTTCATAATCAAGGTAGCAGTAGGTCAGATTGTATGCTGTTTTAAAAATATTCCAGGACAGGCACAGTGGCTCATGCCTGTAATCCCAGCACTTTGGGAGGCCGAGGCAGGTGGATCACCTGAGGTCAGGAGTTCAAGACCAGCCTGACCAACATGGTGAAACCCCATCTCTACTAAAAATACAAAAATTAGCCAGGCCTGGTGGCGCATGCCTGTAATACCAGCTACTTGGGAGGCTGAGGAGGGAGAATCGCTTCAACTCCAGAGGCGGAGGTTGCAGTGAGCCAAGATTGCGCCATTGCAATCCCGCCTGGTCAACAAGAGCGAAGCGAAACTCCATCTCAAAAATATATATATATATCCAGGAACCCTCCTGTCTATGCACAATGCAAAGGCTGTTGAGCTTTCTTGTCAGCTAAGCAGGGTGCAGGGGAGGGAGACAAAGCAAGCAAAGGTGTTTTTTTGTTTGTTCATTTGTTTTCTCCCCTGTGACATTTTCCGTTATCACGATTTGAACCATTTGATTTGGAAAGCTGAAAATGGTAGTTCAGGTTCGTAGTCCCTTAATATAAAGTGGCAGGGCTGGCTGTGTTTCAGAATTGAGGAATTTTCAGATTTTAGAGGGATAATAAAATGTATGACCCATATAGTAATATTCCCAGTGAGATCTGGGGCAGTACCCCACAATCAATTATGCAGGGGAAACATGAATATTCACACAAAGATGAATAAATTAAAAGTACTAATGTCAGCCCCATGTCAAGTTTTGCTGCCAAATATGTTTGCCTAAATTTGCTTTCTACCTTTCAACTTCAGAATTGCAAATAAGAAGTTGTAGACATATGTTGCAGCGGTTGTCCAAAGACAAACCTGGTTGAGTTCTGGTGATAGTTAATGGAGCTGAGTCACAGAACTGACTCTTTATGATCTTGTGTCTCTCCCTACTGTACTAGTTCCTCTCTCTTGCATTCTCTGATCTCTTTGCTCATCTGTCAAACAGGGGTAATATTTGCCTTGTGGGCTATTGTGAGAGTAAGAATTTAATGTATGTTAAACACTGCACGTAGTGCCTGGCATATGATAGGTATTCAATAAATGTTAGCTATTAAAATTTCACCTCTTCTCTTCCCCCTTTTATTAGATAAAACCTTACTGATGTGGTGGTTGTAATGACACTCTGGAAATAGGATTAAGTGATAAGAATTGTCCCAATGTCATTGGAGAATTCAAAGTCCAATTTTTTTTTTTTTTTTTTTTTGAGACAGAGTTTTGCTCTGTTGCCCAGGCTGGAGTATGTGGTACAGTCATGACTCACTGCAACATCAATCTCCCGGGCTCAAATGATCCTCGAACCTCAACCTCCCGAGTAGCTGGGACTACAAGTGTGCACCACCACACCTGGCTAATTTTTGTACATTTTGTAGAGACAGGGTTTTGCCATGTTGCCCAGGCTTGTCTGGAACTCCTAGGTTCAAGTGATCTGCCCCCCTCAGCCTCCCAAAGTGCTGGGATTACAGGCATTAGCCACTGTGCCCAGCCCAAAGTACACATTTTTATGTTGAAAACTCATTGCTTGTTAAATGATCAGTAACACCTTAAAATTTCTTTGCAAAATGACTGGACTTTTCAATGATGAATAAATGTTTTGATTAATGTTATAAGTAAATCTCTTAATCCTTCATTTTAACTGCATTTGAGGAAGAAATATTTGCCATTAGCTGATTTGCCATTGTGAGGCCTCTTTTAAAGTTTCTCTGCAGACACTCATCCTTTGGAAAACTATTTGAAAGAGAAGTTGCTCTAAGTACAGTATTGATGATAGTAGTGCTGTAACAAAGATATAGGCAAGGTTTATAATTTAATATATTGGGAAAAGGGTATTGGGAGATAAGTCTTTTCTAATTTTACAAAAAAAAAACTGCAAAAATATTAGTGGACCTTTTAGTGCAAAACAGTTTATTTTAAAATATGTTTTATAAAGTAGACCTCTGCTTTTAAATTTGTAAAGACCTCCCTTTTAAAAGGGGGGACACCATAAAAAAAGAATTGCCTTTAGTTACCAGGATTTTTTAATAACCTCATTTTGTACTTTGTAATTGATTAACAGAAATTTCCTATAGTACCAACAGATCTGTTTAATGGTGCATGATCTTTACATACAGGAAATTTTCATTTATTTTTCTGGCCTTTTCTCAGTTCATGAAGTTCGTAGATACTTGCTCCACTTAATTTTGGATCAAAGACGGAAAATACAGAAGGATTTCAAGAGAAGAAAGGTGTTAGCTATTTTCTGGGCATGTGCCCTATAGGACCTTTTAGCATTTGACTGGGACAAAGTGGATCTGCCTATATTTATATGCATCGTATTACCTGCCTTCACAGCTGAACTACCAGCAGAAAGTAGGCATCATGTACTGCAAAGCTGGACAGAGCACTGAAGAAGAGATGTACAACAATGAGTCAGCTGGCCCAGCCTTTGAAGAATTTCTTCAACTATTGGGAGAGCGAGTTCGGCTCAAAGGATTTGAGAAGTATCGAGCACAGCTTGATACCAAAAGTAAGAAATACTTACACCCTCCTACTAGGCTTATTTTCCCCCTGTTGTGCTGTTGTGCATCTGCTAAATTATCCGTAAAGCAACATTGCCATTTATCGCAGAACACTGCTGGTGATGGGGGAGAGAAAGCCAGAGAGGGAGGATGTAGCACCAGAACAGTTGAAGATCATAACCAAAGTAGCTAGAATTAGACTCTAAAAAAATAGTGTTGTCAGAGGTGTGTGCATGGAGTGGGGCAGTGACACAGATCGTGCAGAATTGCTCCTGGGTGAGCATTGTGTAAATTTCATTACATTTAGCCAAATGTTAGGGTGATTAAAAACTCCGGAAACTTACAACTGTCTGAGTGTAAGCCTGGAATTTTTGACTTCCATTAATTCATTTCATAGTCTTCATGTTTATCTATGTAGTCAGCCTTTGTTTTTGTTTTTTTGTATTCTTTTTACATCTAGGGTTTTTGTTTCTATTATTATTATTCACAGTCTACTTAATCTCTGAGAAAATAGGCTTTTTAGCTTTGGTATTAGTTTAGCTCATAAAATGTGTTGATTAAAAGCATGATAATGAAACAATCTGTTTAACTATGGTGCATGAACCTAAAAGGTTGTCCATGTCCAGTCCCCAAGTTGTCAGTAAAATAGTTAACATTCTCAAATGCCTATTTTGGTTAGCTGGGACTAATCAAAGAGTGTGTTGACTTTTGCTATGTGTCTGTGTGAAAGCAGTTTTAAATTTTATCTTTAAATTCATCCATAGACACCTGTGACCTGTTTTTCTTTGAGAGGGTCTTGGGATTAGCACATCTGTATTGCAGTCTATAGTAATCTCTCTGATTTTCTGTACAGGAAATTAAATAAGGAGTTGAGTCATGAAAACAGAAAAGCATTCATAAACTCCACTGCAGGGAAGAATTTCCTGTTGCCATGGTTTTGCTGTTGCCAACTTGGAAACGACATGCAAGAGAGACTATTAAAACCCATAAATAGCCTAGCTGCTTAAATATTATTTTAACATTCTGTACTCTGCTTGCAACTGCATAAAGATGTTAAATTTCAGTATGTCCTTAAACTCTTTTTATCCAGCTATTCTGATATTCACCTGGTACAGTTCATTCATGTTGCCCCCATTTGTTGTGCTGTATAAATTATCACTACCACAAACAGTTATTGAAAGGATCTGGGAAGAGAATGTGTAATAAGCTCAGTGATACTATAAATGAATGGTCAGACTGGGAGTTGATAAGATTGTGTGTTATCTGTGATGAAGGGTGATGTGAGAAATGTATAGCTAGGGTATCGTTAAGCAACATGACATGTAGTAAGGCAGTGGAATACACAAAATAAGCACTTTGTGCACAGTTTGTCCAATTATCCCAACAACTGCAAAGGCTAGAGGGGGATGAGCCTGGATTACCAAACAGCCTCTTAATGTAGTTTTGGAATTATATAATACCTTCAACAGGGAAAGATTCTTTTTCACTGAACTACTCTCCTTTAAGTAGTTCAACTTTATGAGGCATGTCTGACCTTTCAGGGCATATTTCCTGAGAAGGATTCAAAGAATCCTTCTGTCCTTTTAAAATGTCGCATTTCCTAAAATGAACGAAAAGTAGGGAAGTATTCCTACTCTGAAGCCCCAAAGAAGACAGTACGCAAAATCATCTCTTTTACTCCAAGCTTATTAATAGGGGCAAAAACTAGAGTCTATTCACTATGCCATTTAAACCTGCATTAAATAATCATAGACCACCAAAATAGGCAACAGCCAGCCTCTGTACACCTCAGCTGCCTCCTACTGGGCTGGACACTACTAGAGATAAGACTTCGTTCTGTGTGCTGTGATGTAATCTCACCATACTTAATCTAACTTTATGTTGTGTCAAGAAACTTTGAATATAATTCTTTTTCTAAAAAAGTGCTTTTCAGAACAAATGTTCAAGGATCATTCCCACTGTAGATGTCACTTGAATCTATGGGTTTGTAGTTTTTATCAAATTAAAGTACTATCTGCTGTTATTTCTTTATTTTTTCTGTCTTAACCTCCCATCTCTCTGAGACTCCAATTACACATATGTTATATCACTCACTGGTGTACCACAGGTTAATGAGGCCCTGGTTCTTTTTTTTTTCCCCCTAACCTTTTTTTTTCCTTCTGTGCTTCAGTTTGGATAATTTCTATTAATATATCTTAAAGCTCCTTGTGTTTTTCTTTTCTTCCATGGTATCTTAATTCATTGTTAATCCCGTCCAGTGAAATTTCCATTTAAGATATTATATTTCAGGGCCAAAAGTTGCATTTGATAATCTTTTTAAATGTCTTCTATTCTCACCTTTTTAGGTTCACGCTGTCCTTTAGATCCCTAAACACATTTATAATAGTTGTTTCAAAATGTTCATCTGCTAATTTCATCATTTCTCTCATTTTCAGTTTCTTTTTTTAATGGGGTTCCTTTGTATATATTTTACTTCCTCACATGTCTGGTTGTTTTTGATAAGATGTTGGATATTGTAAATGTTTCATTGTTCAGTGTCTTAATTTTGTTATCTTCTTTAAGTGTTGAGTTTTGTTTTGGCAGGCAGTGAAGTTGCAGAACAGCTTGATTTTTATGAGTCTTATTTTTAAGCTTTGTTAAAGCATACCTAGAGTAGCTTTTACTCTGGCTAACTTAGCCCTACTACTAAGGCATGACTTTTCTTGCACCTCAGTACTTGAATATTCAATGAAGTGTCTACTGTGGCTGTTCAGAACTCATTAATGTCTCCCAACCCAGTGTGAACTGTGGAATTGTTTGGCTTATAATTCGTTGGTAGTTGTTCTTTCCCTAATATTTTGTCTTTGCTTGGCTTTTGGAATTTATGCATATGCATATGCAGCTTACTGTCCAACTCAAGACTCAAAGGGACCCCTATTCAGATTTCTGAACCTTTCATCTGATATTTCTTTCTCTTTGGTATTCTGCCTAGCAAATATCAGTCACCTCAGACTTCCTGAACTCGAGTCTGTCTTGGCTTCCCCCTTCAGTACCTTGCTCTGTGTCAACTGTCCCACAAGTACCTCTAGGTAGAAAGCCCAGGGGTCATAGGGCTCATCTTCTGTATTCTTTTTTCTCAAGGATCACTATCCAAGGCTGCCTGTTCTCCAATGTCTGCAAACAGTTGTTTCAGCTATTATATCATTTTTTCTAGTTATTCACAATGGCATGGTAAGTGCTGTATCAAGCACTTCATTATGGCTGGAAGCAGAAGTCCCAGATACTTTTGATATGTATGCCGTCTCGTTTAATTCCGACAAACCTGCTAGATACCAATTATCCCCACTTTACAGAATTGGCTTCTTTAGATTAAGTAACATGCCCATGGTTAGATAGCTAGCAAGCATTAGGAAAGTAGAATAGATCCCAGTAGTGTGGTTAATGAAGTGTTCAGAGAAAGCATAAATGTAGAATGAAGTATAGCAAAGCCCCAAGACCGGCCTTTAGCCTATGTCTTCCTCCCTCTTAAGCCCTTGAGCTAACAGTACTCAAACCAGCTCATGAGATAGCTCTACTTCATGCATTATCATCATATTCATTTCTTAGTATTTTTGTAAAGGAGGACGAGGCTCAGGGAAGTAATGAACTATTGAACCATTTCTTCTTTTTCCCAGTTATCTGTGCAAAGACCATCTACACATTTCAAAAATAAGGATTTGTAGCAAACAAGCAAGCTACAAATAAATATGTCACAGGCTGGAACAATTCTGCAATGAAGAAATTTTTAATAGGGGATTTTTCCTTCTTTTTTGTTTTCTTATTTGGATGATATAACCTAGATAATTACCATTCTCTCACACTACAATAAATACAATAAACTTCCCACCAAGCAGTTTGTTATTTGAAAGCTGGAGACCATCCTCATTTTTAGCTACGTACGTGGATTATTTGGGGGAATTATTTCCTGACTGAGGCTTGTTTGTCACGTCAGTACACAGGAGACTTAGAAGCCGTTTGTAAAAGCTTTCCTTCAAAGCCCTGCCTTCATTAATTTGCTGCAATGTTAGTGACTGTTTGTTTTCTCCTCCATTTTTCAGCAGTGTTATAAATGCAGTTGAGGTTCAAGATCTTAAAAGAGATATAAGACTTTTCATAAAGAAAGATTTGGAGGCAGATCATGTGATTGTCAAGGAGGCAGATCATGTGATTGTCAAGGTGACCTATATAATGCCTGAATTTACTTATTAATTAAAGCTCTATACAAATATGAAGTAGCATCATTCTTTCATCCTCCTTCTACAAGCACATTGTCCCTTTAGAGTTGCTCAATACGCTCTTCAACCAGATAAAAAAGCATTTTTTTTTTCATTTTCCTGATAGTCATTCTATTAAAACTTTCATAGTTTCAGGGTTTCATGGTCACTAAAAATATTATAATAAGAGCATTGGATGCTTTATTCCTTAGTAATATAGTAAACAGTCTTAGATTCGGGAGGACATGTCCAGGTTTGTTAACAGGGGTATATTGCATAATGCTGGGGCTTGAGCTTCTAGTGAATCTATTAGCCAAATAGTGAGCATAGTACCCAGTAGGTGGAGATTTTGAGGTGGAGTAGGGTTCTCCAACCCTTCCTCTCAACCTTCCTCCCCACTTTTGGACTCGCCAATGTCTGTTGTTTTCATCTTTATGTTCATGTGTACCCATTGTTTAGCTCCTGCTTGTAAGTGAAAACATGCAGTATTTGACTTTCTGTTTCTGCGTTAATTCACTTAGGATAATGGCCTCCAGCTGCATGTGTGTTGTTGCCAGGGAGATGATGATGTTCTTTTTTATGGCTGCGTACCATTCCATGATGTATATGTACCATGTTTCCTTTATCCAGTCTACCATTGATAGACACTTAGGTCGATTCCATGCCTTTGCTATTGTGAACAGTGCTGCAATAAACAAATTAGTGCAGGTGCCATTTGATAAAATTATTTCTTTTCCTTTGAGTAGATACCCAGTAGGGAGACTGCTGGGTCAAATGGTAGTTCTATTGTTAGTTCTTTGAGAAATCTCCATACTGTTTTCCATAGTGGCTGTATTAATTTACATTCCCATGAACAGTGTATGTATATTTTCTTTTCTCAAAATCCTTGCCAACATCTGTTATTTTTTGACTTTTGAATGATAGCCATTCTGTCTGATATCAGATGGTATCTCATTGTGGTTTTAATGTACATTTCTCCAGTGATTAGTGATGTTGAGCATTTTTTCATGTTTGTTGGCTACGTGTATGTCTTCTTTTGAGAAGTGTCTATTTGTGTTATTTACCCACTTTTTAATGGGGCTGTTTGTTTTTTTCTTGTTGATTTGCTTAAGTTTCTTAGAGATTCTGGATATTAGTCTTTTGTTGGGTATATGGTTTGCAAATATTTTCTCCCATTCTGTAGGTTGTCTGTTTACTCTGTTAATTATTTCTTTATAGCAAACATTCTTTTTTCATTCTTTCTGGTAAAGTTTAATACCTCTATGAAGTGCATAGTAATTTCAGGATTTTGGAATTCTTTTCTTCTTGGAAAGAAAAGTTTCATTATTTTAGCCCTAGTTTCATCTCTGAAACTTCTGAAACTATTCCCAAACTGTTGAAAATTATCAGCAAAACTCTATGAATCTAAAAGACCTCAGAAAAAGGCTGGTCAGATAGCATACATTGTGTGAAATGAGACGTGGAGGACAGAGAGAAGGGGCTAGAAGTAGAAAAATAAATGATCTTCAGTGTTTTCTTCCCCAGCAGTTTTCCTCTCTGGCAGTAATCCTTTTAGAACTAGCAGGCATATAAAGCACAGTGTAATAAATGAATACCAATGACATTTTTTTTTTCTGTTTCATTAATTTTGCTTAAAATTGACTTGAAACACATGTATAAGTACACGTCAGTGGTGACACATTCACTTTAAAGTTTTAAAATGTGCTGATCTGTTCTATACATATTTATAGAAAGGGTTCTTGACAATAGATAAGTTCTTCACGTTCAAGACCTGTCTTAAATAGTTCAGTTGAATCCTTTGTTGTAGTAATACACAGTTTTTTTGTTGTGATGGTCATTAATACTTAGAAGATATTTTTCTTGGATATTTATATGTTGTTACATAGTTTTCCAATTTTTGAAAAGTAGTCTTTGCTTTGTTCTATTTTTGACTATTTTTAAGCCTTCGCATTTTATGTCAGCTTCAAAATTAAGATTCTCCAACAAGCTCAAGCTTGAAACTCAGAGCTCTAGAATATCTTTAGAAAGCTGTCTGCAAGCCACAGTTGTAGTCTATTCTTAGAGCAGTACCTAACGGCAGCGGAGTTACTGCATTAGAGCTACCTGGGAGTGTCTGTGAAGAATAGATTCCCCTGTGAGGCCCTATACCCACTGAGGAGTATTTTGGGGGGTGGGCCCTGGGAATCTGCCTCTTAATTTAGCTCCACAGCTGATGCTGTGCATACTAAGTTTTCAGAACTACTGTTGCCTTTTGGTATGTGTCAGAGACTTTGTCTGAGAGCATCGTTCTCTAAAATGCCATCAAGTGTTTTGGTCCTCAAAAAATAGGGTCGAGGCCAGGTATGTTGGGTCACGCCTGTAATCCCAGCACTTTGGGAGGCCAAGGTGGGTGGATCACAAGGTCAGGAGATTGAGACCATCCTGGCCAACATGGTGAAACCCCGTCTCTACTAAAACTACAAAAATTAGCCAGGCATGGTGGCATGCACTTATAGTCCCAGCTACTCAGGAGGCTGAGGCAGGAGAATCGCTTGAACCCAGGAGGCAGAGGTTGCAGTGAGCCGAGATCGCACCATTGTACTCCAGCCTGGGCGACAGAGTGAGACTGTCTCAAAAAAAAAAAAAAAAAAAAAATTGGGTTGATAGAGGGTTGAGTTTACCTACAGTGAATGTACTTCTGTTCCTTTTGCAACCCCTAAGTCCAGATCCTTTGAGTCTAAACAGGTATTCCCTTTGAGTTGGGAAGTTAATAACTTTTTTCTGCAGCTTCCAGGTACTTGTGGGAACACTGATTCTGAAACTTTGTTAAGATAAAGGCAGTAGAGGTTTTTTTTTTCTTAAGGAAAGTGAGAACACAACATGCTTAAGTCTTAAAAAAATTGTTAGACGTTGCTGTGTCAACTTTGTTCTTCAGTGTTAATGGTCTTGTTAAATTATTGTCTTTTTTTTTTTTTTTAAGAACAAAACAAGTCTCTTGCTTGAATTGGAAGTATTAGAAAAATGTTTCCTAACTTGATGTGTCGACAGAATTCAGGGGTCTGTGAACTTGGATGGGAAATAAGATTTTCTTTATTTTCACTGACCCCAAGTTGAAATTTAGCATTTCTGTTCATTATGGCCATAGGCAGTAAACCACAGTAATTCATTTACCTGTGATTTCATTGCCAATAGAAAGCACAGATATTTTCGTATTATATTATTTGTTGTTGCAGACATCTCAAGAGTGTTTGTGCTCATCATGTCTTCAGCATTACAGTAGATATTAGACCAACTGCTAAATCTTGTTATATAAATCTTGTGCATTCATATTTAAAATTATTTGATACTGTGCGCTTCGATATAATTTCTTTTGAAATCTTATGTTTTTTATTTTATACTTTTACAAATATTATTCTGAGAAGGGATCTGATCCGTAGGCTTCACTAGACTGCCAAAGAGGATCAAATACAAAAAAAAAAAGGAAGAACACCTGTCTTGTCTAGAATCTTTTCATCCTAAATCATTTTCTTTTCTTCTCTTTTCTTTTTTGAGATATTTCTCTTAAATAAATTATTTTTCCTGTTATAGTCATCTCATCATTATATTTTTTTTAACTGTAGCTGACTCCACTGGAACCCATTCTCTGTACACAACATACAAAGATTATGAAATTATGTTCCATGTTTCTACCATGCTGCCATACACACCCAACAACAAACAACAGGTAAGAGATCCTCCTGTTATCTGTGTTTTCACCCTTGTTTCATTTCCTCTAGAAGCCTAAGTGGCAAGTTTGTAAAATCTTAAACCAGAATTTAGTGTTGCACCTGTCACAGCAGCGGGAAGCTTTGTGCTTTGTGGAAGTAAGGAATAGCAAATGAACTGAAAACAAATGAAGAGACACAAATTTTAGGTTAACAGCCAGCTGGATGCCTTTGTGAATTAATCATTTGCTTTTCACCCACGGGGATTGAGGTTTTCATGAAATCTGAGGAACAAGTTGAAATCATTGGTGATTACATGACTCTGCAGGGTTGCAAAGAACATCCATGAGTGGGTGAAGTTTCATCTCAAGAGGTCAGTGCACAGAATAGGAAAGTTCTGAGGTTGCATTATAGATTTCAAAGGAGATATAAAATACTAACTTGGAAAAAAGTCAAATGTCAACAGAATGATATTCTTCCTTACCATGTTCATTGGGAGATAGCAAAGAACATAAATAACAATTGCATATGTGCACATCATACACAGAGCTTCTCTTAAAATGATCTAAAAGCTCAATGCCCAATTACTAAAGTGTAAGTGAGGTAGTAAAATGTGGAAACTAAGAGGTGACAGATTGTTACAGAGCAAACTGGAAACTGGCACTATTGTTTTAGGGAATATGTGGTAGTTGATTTTTTAAAATATTTTAAAATAAATAGTAGCAAATTGAAATTTAAAAGAACCAGAGAGCTAACACACACTTCTTTTAAAAGCTATTACAAACTTGAGCAGTCCAATTTTACTTCTGACCTTCAAATGGATATGGATTTTTGTTTTTGTCAATTGTTGTGCTAACAGAGCACAGGCCAGCTGCAGAATGAATCACATCCTCTTTCACAGAAGTTAACCAAACACTGATCTAATCTAACACTTTATCAGTTTACATTTGATTAAATCACAAATCTAGGTAACAAAGTTTTGCCTTTCATGATTGCCAGTGTAATAAAAAATAGAGAGCAAAGCAATGAATCAGCTATAAATCTGAAGTAAACCTGTTTTAAGATAAACTCCCTGATCTGTACTTTGTTGATAATTTGTTTTATGCAAATTCCAGATTTTAGCTCTCTTTGAAAGAAAAACACCATGCTAAGAAAGGCATAATAAACTTATTCTGACCAGTCAGTAGATAAAAAATTTAAGAACATTAACAAAATGATCCTTAAAGAGAGCATAAAGGCTTATTCTGCCTGATCACTTAGAAGAGAAAGATGAGATTTGTAAGGGTAAAAAATTTACTAACAAGATTGGATTGATTATTTGTAACTAAATGAGTTGAAGTGGTAGGCAGAGAAAGTGGGCATTTAAATGGCAGCTCTCTCAATTATTTAATTTTGGAGTCCAATCAAGGCAAAAATGTTACAGTCTTAAATCAGAATGAGAAAGAAATTGGTACTGCAACATATGAAAAAATTTTCACTCTCTAGCCAAAAAATTTATTTTCCTCTATGTAGATTACTTTATGCTTGGAAAAAAAAACCAGGAAAAATGTATCTTTAAAAATTCTTTTGCAAATATTTTTAATAAAATATTTTTCATTATATGTAGTATAAGATGGAAAAATGGATTTGTTTCTATTTGGGTCCTTTATTAAGACATTTATTTTTATATGTCAAGCCATATTTTGAAGAATGAATAATATTACAGAAAATGACATCATTTATGCAGGAATGGCATAACATGTAGATAAATAGTATTTGTTTTTGGTATGTCCAAGATCTTGAGTAGATTAATAATCTTTAATTATTGGTATGTTCTGTAGAGCAATCAATACACACCAGCCTTTATTTTCATAACGTCTGTTTGTATATCATATTTAGAAATGAACTCAGAAATAAATTGCTTCATTAGAAGACAATTTGGGATGCTTTCAAATTCCTGAGGTTAAAAGTGCATTTCCTGAACATTCTAACTCCCAATTTGCAACCCTAATCTAAAAGGCTATTATTTCTCCCACCTGGCAGCCAATACTAGATCACTGATTTTACTGGTTTGCAATTTGTATGCCTTAATGTCACCAGAGAATATTTTTTTAAATACAAGTTTTGTAAGTACAAGCTTATGTCTAATGGATAGTTTATATAAATGTCACACTTAGTTGTTTTTCTTTTTTAAGAGCCTCCGTACAGTAAGTTTGAGAAACACAAATTTTGTTTGGTTTTCCTTTACACTATTGAATTAACTGCTGAAAGGCACTGACCTAGGATGATTTGGGGTGCCTGAGTTTGAAAGCCACCCATCCAAAACCCAGTGAATGTGAAACAGAGGGTGTCCCTAAGCAGCTTTCATTGCAGTTAAAGAAGCTGTTTAAACCTGAAATTTACCTGCTTTTAATTGTTGCAACATTCTGGAATATTATTCTTTTCTACATGCCCAGCTTGTGACACAAAACATATATCAGAAAACACCTTAGCCACATTTTCTTTCAATGAGGCCAGTTAAACCAGAACATAAATTACATTGTAATTATTTCAGCCATTCTCATCTCTAAAAATCTTCCCTGTGGCACGTGTTTTTCTTATGTGAAAATGGAACAACACTGTTGTTATAGAAACTGAGGGTTTGGTGATGTTGGGACCTGGCATAATATGCCAGATATTGGGTAGATCTATTTGAATGGCTGTATCTTTTATGCAAATTTCAGAATGTTCGTTTCTATGTTCTTCCTTAGAGGGAATAAGGCAGGTGAAAACATTGACAGTACCTGTGTAGATTACCTACCTTCATGTGTACTGATTAGGAATGGATGTTTTAAATACAGCTATATAAGGGAATTGGGGTGGCGGGGGAAGCAAATGATTGTTATTTATGTTGGTTGCTTATTTTTTCTTGTAGCTCCTGAGGAAGCGGCACATTGGAAATGATATCGTAACAATTGTTTTCCAAGAGCCTGGAGCACAGCCATTCAGCCCAAAAAACATCCGATCCCACTTCCAGCACGTTTTCGTCATCGTCAGGGTGCACAATCCGTGCTCTGACAGTGTCTGTTATAGGTGTGTATGGGTGTCACAGCAGGGGCTCTGTGGATGTTGGCTGGTTATCGCATAGAGGCCCCATTCAGCTCTGCATTCTAAAGTGGCAATGGGAAGTCTATTACTATTTCTTTTTGTCTTTAAACCATGCATGCGGATGGCTGAATTCACATGATGATGTAATCTGGTGGCATTGACATTACCCAAGCATGTTGGTTAGACACCTGCCGTTTCCATTTGCACCTCCTTCTTAGGTGATGTCCTTCATCCATACCATCTGGTCACCAACCAACTAATTACTCATATTGCTAATTATATTTTTCTTTTGGCATGGCAAGAGCAGAGAAGAACGATTATAATAAATAGGGAAGAGAAGTTAATTTTTTGAAAAGCATTGTTATTAAAGAAGCCTAAATCCTTGCCTCTGACTTACTTGATTCACGTTAGCACTCTGACTACAAGCTTAGAAACGCTTCTATACTTTATTTAGCATTATTGAAATTGTTTCAGTGTTACTTGTTGACGTAGTCACATGAGTATCAGAATTCAGGCCTCTATCTGCAGAGACCTTTCTTGTAAGAATACTAGAGTTAGGAGTTGAAGGAGATAGGGACCTGTCACGCTAGCTCGATAGGGGTGTAGTGCCAGAATGTGTAAGGGTAATGTTCTGGCATTTGTAAGATGTTTTTAATGTGCATCAGTTCCTTTCAAAATATGGACATTTGGCGTATCTTTCCATCCCTAAAAAATGTTACCTGCATAGAAAGTGACCTGTGCACATTGACAGTTTGTGAGATCCACAATTGTATATTTCTAGGAGTAAGGCAGATTAATTCTAGGAGTAGAGTAAGCGTAGCTTAGGGAAAAAAAACAAGTAGAGGTTATGTTGGTCTCCTGCTGGCTGTCACCATCCTTGCACATATCCTAATAACTGCATTGGTTGAGCTCTTGTTATAAGCCCCAAACTATTCTAGACATCTTACATGTATATCCCATTTAATCTTTAAAACCTATGAGGTAGGTACTGCTTTTATCTCCATTTTCAGATGATGAAATTTCAGCCAGGTCACTTGCCTCAGGTTAGCTGGCTAGTGTTGAGCAGAATTAGACAGGAATGCAGTCAGTTTGATTCTAGAGCCCAGTCTCTTAACCACGCTGCTATGCCGCCTCTCTTACATGCTGGGAAAGCTGGGTTTTTCACTCCGAGCTCCCAACACAGAGGCTGTTCCAGAACTTTTCAGGTGCTGAGCCTAGGTGAACACCCAAGACCAGGGAGGTCTGTAGTTTCCTAGGGTTGGGGCAGAACCCCCAACAATGAAGACCTAGATCTGAAACCTCTTATCAAGGAAATGGTGTCTGAGAGCTGCTCTGGTTAGTTGTAGAATGAAAGCACAGAACAATTGACTATAATTGGGATGGATAACTATTTGCATTTAGAAAATACTCTGAGCAGTTAAAACATGCTATGTACTAGATTCATGCAAAGGATTTCATACCACTTGACAGGTAGAAAGTTAAGCCCATTTTGAATGGGCACTTCAAAGTTTGGGGAGTGGAAAGCTATGCAGTTTCTTTTAAAGAGAGTTTCTTCTTTTCAAGCCTTTGTCTGAATCAGTACCGTCCAATGGGACTATAATGCAAGCTACATATTAATTTTACATTTTTTAATAGCCAGATTTTTTTAAAAAGTGCCAAGATATAGATGAAATTAATGTTGACACTGTTTTTGACCAATTTATACATTTTATTTACTCAGTATATCTAAATATTATTTCAACATGAATTAACATGTGATTTCAGCATTTAACAATTATTGTGACATCTTACATGGTTTTTTGGACTAAGTCTTTGTAACCTGAAGTACATTTTAGACTTACCGCATATCTCAATTAGAATGCTAAATTTTCATTGGTGATACTTGATGTATATTTAGATTTCATAAAATTTATAATGAAAAGGTAGATTTAATATACCTAGATTCTTCCAAATGGACTTTTAAAAATCTTTAAAATAACAGAATTAAGTATCCATTTTTAAATCATATATTAATTAAAATTTAATATAATTTGATATTCCTTGGTCACACTAGACACATTTCAAGTGCTCAATAGCCACAGCTGGCTGTGGCCACTGTAATGAACCACACAAGTCTAAACAGACTGCTCAGGGAGGTATGTTCTCCTTCTTCAGTGCTTTGTTTTTTTATTTTTATCATCCCTCCCCTGAAAATTAGGATTTTTGCTTTCTCTCTCTTATTTTTAATCTGTTGCCTGGAGAGCCCACCGTTTGAACCCCATCATTTAATGCTAGAAGTCTTTGCGGGAAGTGGGATACTGAACACCCCTGCTCAAGACATGTGGGCAGGTCTGGAATTTCCTAGTTACCAGGCTTGTTTGAAGGCCCAACACACAGCTTTTAAGCTGTGAATTTTGGCCTGTTTATAAATCCAAGAAAACATTAGTTTGTAACATCACTGAAAGAAATCACAAGAGATTATAGAGCAGTGACCTATGCCTATTGCAAACTTTAAAGATCAATAATTTTTTGCCATCCTTCTCAAAAGAGGCAGGCACACCTCCTCAGGTATGTGGTGATGTCAGGAAGTGTTTGAAGACACAGAATAAACAGGACACCTTTCTTCAAGCCTTTAATGTTGGGGGGAGGCAGGGTAAGGACGAGCTTATTTTCTCATGAAAATAAATGTATTATGAGGTAGAATGGAAAATATCAGTTTTCAGATAAAACATGGGTCTTCAAAGAATTTCTACACCTGTGAATTTTTCTCAAGCCCCAGCCACTCCCCGAACTACTAGGGATATGAATTTATAGGCCTGTTTTATTAGGGGTGGTTTGGTGGAAAAACTTAGACATGGGTTGATTTATACTCATTTTATTTAAATCTAATTTAATTTTATCCCTAAGTGATATAGCTAGAGTAACTCAAATGCTTTTTTAAAGTTTTTTTAATTTTTAAATTTTTGTGGGTACATAGTAGGTGTATATATTTTTGGGTTACATGAGATATTTTTATATAGGCATGCAGTGCATAATAATCACACCAGGGTAAATGGGGTATCCATCACCCCAAGCATTTATCCTTTGTGTTACAGACAATCTAGTTATACTCTTTTAGTTATTTTTAAACGTGCAATTAAATTATTTTTAGCTATAGTCACCCTGTTGTGCTAGCAAATAACTAGGTCATATTCATTCTTTCTATTTTTTGTACCCCAAGTGCTTTTTAGCATTTAAAACCTCTTGGTCCCAACTTTCTCCACCATGAACACACATATTTATTTACTTACACCTACCTGGTATCTGAACTGTGGAAAGGGGAGAAGTTTCCTTGAAAGAGTGTCTTGCAGTAATAGTGTGGAGAGGTGTGGGGTCATTACAGGCTGAAGTTATATGGATATTTATGAGAAGATGGGATTTGATGTGTGTGTTAAAGCATAGCTGGATGGAATTCAATGGGAAAAAGAGAAACCATTCTAGGAGTGGTCAGTGGAAAGGACAGAAGCCTAGAAATGGGAAGGAGGATGGAAAGTACAATAAAAAGGCCTACTAATGCAGAAAAGATGACCAGGCAGTAGAGGCCTCCAGAATGCTAGGCCATCAATTCAACACTACATAAGTAGAATTCCAGGAAAAATTATCCAGTGTTACCATGCTAGGTAATTTGTACACAGAAAGATAAATTTGGAGACTGTCATTATCCATTTATTTTTCATTAGTTCTTTATCCAGCCCTTAGCATATATGTGCTAGACACTACTCTGGACCCTGGGATATAACATGAGAACAAAGAGAGAAAAATCCCTATAGTGGATCTAGACATGAGATCTCAAAATAATGTGGTATTATACCTCCCTGGGGACTAGAAAGCTTATATAGGAATAACTGACTAATTCAGACTAATTCCAGAGGCCAGTTAATGTGAGTCATCATGTAGCCAAGAACTCAGAAATCAGTCACTAAGTCTGCATACTAAAGCTTATCCCATAACTGATGAGAGCCCTCCAGTCTCTATTGTTTTATTTGTATCGTTGCAGTGACCTTAATTATCTGATCCCAGTTGATAGAGAAGATTAGAAGCAAAAAAAAGAAGAAGGAGCTGTTAATAGCGAGTATATACTGGAAACAAATACTTGTTTATTGATAGAAGAGATGCTGAAAAACTATTCACATCAAAGATATGAATTCAATAAGCATAGCAATCTGGGGCCATTTGATTTTGGGGCAAACAGCCAAATATAGTAGTTCCTCCTTATCTGTTGGGGATATATTCCAAGACCCCCAGAGGATGCCCGAAACCATGGATAGTGCCTACCCCTATATATACTATGTTTGTTCCTATATGATAACGTTTAATTTCTAAATTAGGCACAGTAATATATTAACAGTAATTAATAAAATATAACAGTTATAACAATATACTTTAATAATAGTTATATGAATGTGGTCTCTCTCTCAAAATACCTCACTGTACTATACCACGGCTAACTGAAACCACAGAAAGTTAAAACCATAGATAAGGGGGAACTATTGTGTGCTTCAGTCACTCCTGAGGGCTTCACTGTGGAAACACAGTGTAAGATAATACCATTTTTCAACAACTACAGAATTAATGGATTTAAGCATTGATCATCAAAGGATGCAAATACTATAAAAAGAGACAAATATGTGCCTCATAATGGAAGAATACAACCTCACCTATGAATTATTTTTGCTACCCCCTAAAAAAAATTAAATCTGAATCTGATCAAGCTTCCAGAAAAGCCAATTTATAGGAAATACAAAAGACAGAGGAACATGTTTGTAGTTGACAAAATTCAGACCCTGAATAACTCTGCAGACACAATGCCCCATTTCTTCAACAAGTAAGTTGCAAGAAATAGTGAGGAAGTGGAGGGGAATCTACAGAATAAAACATTTTTTAAAGCTAAATTAATTGCAATGTGTGGATCCTATTTGGATCCCAATTTAGACAAAAAGACTATAAAGAAAATCCTAGGACATCCTAAACAATTGTAAATTGGAACATTGACACACTATTTGATGAAATAAAAGAGTTGTTATTCATTTTAAAACTAAAATAGTAATAAGTAGTCATAACAAGGACCCTGATTGTTCAAAACAAATATTAAACTGTGGTCAGTAGGTATGTTTAGGAAGGTAGAAATATGTGTTACTCCTCTCAGAGAGGTTTCCATACCCGGTAATTAAAATGTAATAACTGTTGAAAGGAATCTGTATGATATAGTACAAAAAGCACTTGGAATTAGACCAAATTGTTAAACAGTGCAGTGGGAAGTTGCTTGACATCCACTTAAAATCCTATTAAGTAAAATGTCTAGCATAGGCAGGGAGGAAGCGTGATGCATGTCCATTAAATGTCTGTGTTCATCCTCTTTCCTCTCTGTAAAAAAAAAAAAAAAAAAAAAAGAATTTGCAAGCTTCAGCTGAGAAGAAGAAAAATCCAAGTAGGTCAAGTGATAGAAATTTCTTTCAGAAGGTCTATTTCAAGCCTCAATTAATCAGCATCCCTATTGTCCACTGCAGCTGACCTTTCTAAGACAAGAATCTGATTATGTCATTTATTGTGCTTAAAAGCATTTAGAGGAAAGTTCAGACTTGCAAGCATAGCTTACTGCATGGGGGCTTCAGGTTTGGCCTCCTGTCTCTCAGTCTCATCTACCAGTCTGCACCCCATGCCTACCTCACTCCTTTGGAGCTACTCACCACTCCCCAGAACAGCATGCTCTGCCCCTCCGCTCTGCACATGCTGCTCCTCTCACACATTCCCCTTTCCCTCCATCTGATGAATTCCTGCTTTTCTTTTTTCTGAGAAGGCTCCCTGGACCTCCCAGGACTAAAGTGCCTTTCCTAAGTGCTACCAGTAGCACCCTGTACTTCGCAAGTAGGAGACTCAAATCACTGGCTGTGGCTCCCACCAGACTTTGAGTTTCTGGAGGGCTGAGCCCGGGACATCTTCAGCCTTGATCCTCAGCAAAGGCAAAGTGCCTAGCACATAGTAGGTACTCAGTGACTGGTGGATCAATACTATTAGAAATCGAGAGAATGATTGGCACGTGTTTGATCTTTCCTGTCCTTTGCCCAGATCTGCTTTCTTGGAAGCTGCCCTGGCCAGTAATCTGATTCAGGCTCCAAGAAGAGGAAACTTCCTTCTCCCATTTGATGTTTTCTGTATCACCTTCCTTTTAAATTTTGGGCTGGGGATTGTTGATTATTGCTGTTTTTCCATTGTGCTTCCAAAGTTCAAATGTCTTATATTTCTCAATTTTTATCCACTAAACTGTTCAGAAGTCTTTGAAACAGGCCGGGCGTGTTGGCTCATGCCTGTAATCCCAGCAATTTGGAAGGCTGAGGCAGGCGGATCATGAAGTCAGGAGATCGAGACCATCCTGGCTAACACAGTGAAACCCTGTCTCTACTAAAAATACAAAAAATTAGCCAGGCGAGATGGCGGGCCCCTGTAGTTCCAGCTTCTGGGGAGGCTGAGGCAGGAGAATTGCTTGAACCCAGGAGGCAGAGGTTGCAGTGAGCCGAGATCGCGCCACTGCACTCCAGCCTGGGCAACAGAGTGAGACTCCGTCTCAAAAAAAAAAAAAGTCTTTGGAACATTTTCATGTGTCAGCTTGAAGTTGGCTTTGGGTATCAACACTTGTTATTTCATTCAAGCTCTTTGATGCCAACCAATGTTACATGGCCCATATCGAGTAGAAATAGCCTCATCATCTCTTAGGCCATGTGACCCATGTGAATGGTCCCTTTTAGCAGGCACCTCAGGAGTAGGAGGTTTGAAAGCACTTCCTCAGAGGGAGTAAGTGTGGGCTTGTCGTGGAGCACTCTCTTGGCTGTCCAGAAGCTTACATTCCAATCCTGGCTCTCTCTAACAAATCTGGGTAAATCCTTTTACTTCTCTGTATCTGTTCCTGGAGAAGTGAAGAATTTGTACCAGCTGCTCAACCGGAGGTTCATGAAGATGTCAAACCACAGAATACAAACAAGACACCTTCCTGGTCGCTCAGTGTACCCAAAGATTTTGGAGTGAGAAGATATTTTTATATGAAAATGAACACAAATATTTTTCAGTAGAATGTAAAATCGAGGTGAATTTTCAAATGAAACCCAAAGATTTTACTGAAAGAATTTGAGGAACATTGAGTTCTGTTAAGTTCCCTTCCTGTGATAACTTTCCATCACTGTTTTAGCCTCTAGCTCTGTCTGTCTGTCATCTAGATAACCCTGCTGAGTAGAACATTCCAGTCCTCAACAATGCTGGGTAAATAAAGCATGGCTATGATTTTAAAGCATGTATTATTTCCAAGAAGACACAGAATTGCCAACTAGGCTAATATACATACAGCCAAGCAGAGGCCCTTTGGAATCTGCTTTTAAAAATACCAAGAACCGTTTATAATTAATATATCTTAAGTAACTACATGCAGCAAACTGAGATTCTAGAAAGGCTTTTTTTCTAAATATTCTGTTTAGCTTAAACCAGGCCTTATTATCAAGAGTTCAGAATTTGTGGCATCTAAATTAATGAGCTTTTAACCTTGTAGAAACCTTGCCAGTTTGATTTATCCAAAACAAAATCATTTATTTGAAAAGAGCATTCCAGGGTATCATCTTCCTCATCTTCTGTAAGGATTCTATTTCTGACTATGCGAAGCTGATTTCAGTGCCTGTATCATTTACCTCCCTACCACAGTGAATCATTGAAAATTATATGGTAAGGATTCAGTTCTTTTCCTCACAGTTCATTATAGCTGTTTCTAATTATTGGTAGGTTTTCAGTGTATGTTTGTCTAAAGTTCTATCAATTAATAAATGGATCTGCAGAAAGCCAGTTAGTTTAAGGGGCAAGTAGATGGAGGGTGCTTAAAATCACACCCCCTGCTAAACATTTTGCTCTCCTTATTTAAAATAAAATCACAGATATTTTCTGAGAAGGAATAACAATTTGAGTGAAATAGCAGATGAGAAGTTGCCAATTTTAAAGTGAAAGATATTAAATATTTCTGGATTCTTACAGGATTCCACTTAGAAAAATCTAGCAAACCTGGATTTCAGCATCTTTTGCTTGACTTTAAGAGAAAAATAACACGATCAAATTAAAATTATACAGCTGTCAGCGTTCAAGTCAGGCAGTTCACAATAGACAAGAAAAATTGCCTTCCTAATACATATTGGTATAATTAAGCCATATGGAAGTCTCTGAATTCTCTCCTCCAGTTAGAAAATGGAGTGTTGGTTGCCACTGTTCTTTGTCATGAAGTGAACTAGGTAGTCTTTTAAAAATACACTTGTAAAACCAACAGATAGGCCATCCCATGGCATCTTCTGAGCATGTAGCTTTTCCATTCCACCAGAAATATAATTTGCCTCCTGAGGTTGCTGATTTTTATTTTTCTTATTTTCACAAGAAATAACTATTTCTTGAAAAACAAAGCTGAATATCTTAAAGCAAACCCTTCCTAAAGAAAAAAAAGTGAAACAGAGCTCTTCAATTTTATTTGAAAGATGCATACTCTCTGATGATGCCATTTCTATTCCAAGAGTTCAGAAGAAACCGATTTTTTTATTGTTTCCCTAATACTAAGTATAATTGCATAATTTGTTCACTTTTAATTTGGAAAGAGCGATCTTCGATGTGTTAGAATCATTTCCAGTCATGTCAAACTTTACTAAAATCTTGGGAAATGATATAAAACACTCAACCTCTCTATTTCTATATCAACAACTTCCTTTGTTGTTTTAGGAGAAACTTACTTTTTTTCCTTTTGAGGTTAAAAATAATAAGTTATTACAAATGTTCATATGATCCTTTTCTTAGGCCCAATTTTAGGAATATATAGTCAGAAGAAATGACTGGAACAGGCTTTCTTATATCAATCTTGCTTAAAGGAATGGGAGAAGGAAAATATTTTTCTTAGAAATAGATTATCAGAATAAAATACCAAAAGGACCAAGGAATAGCTCAGTTTAAAAATATGATTTTAAAGCGTTGTTGCTATTACATAAAGATTCTCATACTATTACTCAGATTCCAATTTTCATTTTAAAATTATGCTTTTAATCTGGTTGCATAATGCCTCACACTTAGGCCAACAAATACTAGTTAAGTTTTATTGAAATTTAATTCATTTCTTTTATGGCATGCATCTTCTGATATTTTCAATGTAAGCTGTCTGCTTATAGCCATCATATCTAAAATGGAGAACACATTTGTGTTCTCACAGAATGTATGCTTGTTCTGAAAGATGATGTGGTTACAGTAACCTCCCTTGAAAACAGTTAGTAGGTATTTAAAATGTCTTACACAGAATATTACAGTAAACCTATTTTTTTTCATGGAGTTTTGGTCAGTTTCCTGTCTGGTAAAAAAAAAGTTAATAGTGTTAGCTTTTGGGATTTTGGGAGGTTTGTTTTTGGCCTAGAAAAAAAATTATGTTGTGTAAATCCTAAATGCGGTAGAATGAAAAAATATACTCGTATTAAGCAGAAATGTGTGTTGTTTCTCATGGAAAAATAAGCAGCTATTTTGTATCTGAGGTACATCTTTGTCTTTGAGAAAGTATATTTTATTCTGATGTTGTGAGACTGAGAAATACTGACGTGGCTCTCTTTGATCTTTGTCTCTCAGTGTGGCTGTTACCAGGTCCAGAGATGTGCCTTCCTTTGGGCCTCCCATTCCTAAAGGGGTCACTTTCCCTAAGTCAAATGTGTTCAGGGACTTCCTTTTGGCGAAAGTGATTAATGCAGAAAATGCTGCTCATAAATCGGAGAAGTTTCGGGCCATGGCAACTCGGACCCGCCAGGAATACCTGAAAGATCTGGCAGAAAAGAATGTCACCAACACCCCTATCGACCCTTCTGGCAAGTTTCCGTTCATCTCTCTGGCTTCCAAGAAGAAGGAAAAGTCTAAGCCATATCCAGGAGCCGAGCTCAGCAGCATGGGGGCCATTGTATGGGCAGTCCGGGCTGAAGACTACAACAAGGCCATGGAACTAGACTGCCTTTTAGGGATCTCCAATGAGTTCATTGTGCTCATTGAACAGGAAACAAAGAGCGTGGTCTTCAATTGTTCCTGTAGAGATGTGATAGGGTGGACTTCAACTGACACCAGCCTCAAAATCTTCTATGAACGAGGAGAATGTGTTTCAGTGGGTAGTTTTATTAACATTGAGGAGATCAAAGAGATTGTCAAAAGGTTGCAGGTGAGTCTCTCCTTCCTCTTCCTTACATGCAGTTTCTCTTTCATAAAGTTTTCAATACAGACTAGAGCCAAGTTACTGAACCTTGTGCTCTGTTATTAGCTCCTCTGAAAACTCCCTTGATGTGTGAAGCAAACAGAGTTTATCTCATGCTTGTGTTTTCCATGGATGTTTCGGAAAAGTAGAACAAATTGGGGAAGACACATTTACTCTGTGTGTGTGTGTGTGTGTGTGTGTGTGTGTGTGTGTGTGTGCGTTCATGTTCAAAACCCATTTGCATGTGACCTGTTCCCTGGTGCTGCAGTCCAGTCATCTGGTGGTGGTGTTGAAAAGAATTGCTTGAGTATCTGCTGCCTTGAATTTTACAAAGGCTAAATGAGTAGCAGTATATGGTTTCTATTTACTGCCAGCTCCCTGTAGGTCTCTGGTAGAGGTTTCCTTGTAACTTCAGGGAAGCCGTTGAGCTTTTTGGATGCAACAAGTATATTCCTTTTGGCCTAATGAATAGGAGATTAGTGAAGAGGAAATAACCAGACTGCTCTTCAGCTGGCAATAAGGTATTCAGAACTAACCCTGCTTGCAATGATTTTCCAGTTCCATGTCCACCACTTAATACCCTATTGCTTTAAACCACAGTATCTTTTATTTCCTTGTCTAGTTTGTTTCAAAAGGCTGTGAATCGGTGGAGATGACTCTGCGAAGAAATGGGCTAGGACAGCTTGGCTTCCATGTCAACTATGAGGGCATTGTGGCGGATGTGGAGCCCTACGGTTATGCCTGGCAGGCAGGGCTGAGGCAGGGCAGTCGCCTGGTGGAGATCTGCAAGGTGGCGGTAGCCACTCTGAGCCATGAGCAGATGATCGACCTCCTGAGAACATCTGTCACGGTGAAGGTTGTCATCATTCCCCCGCATGATGACTGCACCCCGCGGAGGTAGGTCTGAGGAGACAGCTGTGGGCCTGAGACTCGAGTGCAGGGTTTGTGTACCATGTAGAACATCTCTTAGCAGGTAGTGGAGTAGGGTGTTGTGAAGAACAATAGGTTACATGTGATGCTGAATGTTTCATCCATGGAGTCTGACTCAGGACGAAGCTCCCTTTCAGTGTGTGGTGACAGCAGCTGGAAAGAGTGACTAAATGGGACCATTCCCAGGATTTACATCACTGGATTTATAAAGTTGCCATGACAGATAGAGAAGTCTGGTAATATCTATCTTAAGAATTTTCCACTGGGAGCTGAGAAACATTGAACACATTGAACATTAAAAGACACTCAACATCTCAAATTGTCAGATTGCTTTTCTTCTATGTTCCATGATGCTCTTATTCTCTTCTCTCTCCTAATTGCTGCCCAAAACTCAGCAATTGTTTGGACCTTTGCTGTCTCAGTCTGGCAGCTGCTTTCCTAACTGTATCTGCATGTGCTAGGGTTTGGCTTCAGGTGAGCTGCCCCTGCTCATGGTGCTTTGGCATTTTGGTTCCTAGTCTTTTCCAGAAGGGAAAACCTAAGAGCTCCCTGCCCCACCCAACCCCCCACAGCTCCTGCCAAGCCAGCAGCACTGTTGAAAATTTAATTTCTCTGTCTCTGGGGAGGTTTATTGGTGGAAGAAATTTAATCAACTGTTTATTTTCTCCTTTGGACATGCACATGCTATTTTTGCTAGTTTTTAAGATCTCTCTTTTTAGTTTATGCCATTATTTTCTAAGAATTTCTCTTAAGCTTTGGCAATTGATTCTTAGGCTTTCTAAAGCCAAGACAGTGTTCTGTGTCCTATTTTGCCACTAAGATGACCAGTCCTACACCTGAGCTCTCATGGATTTGTGAATATCAGATGGTAGAAAGTTAATGGTTATGATAGGCTATTTGTGTCTTTTAAAAAGTAAAGAGCAGCAAATATATATGTGTGTGTGTGTGCGTGTGTGTGTTTTATATACTTTGCTCAGGATAGTATTTCCTAATACTGCTTACCTCCTAGATGGCCTAGGGATTATGTATATATGTCAAAATATAGAAAAATTCCTTTGTCTGATAGTTTGAAGAACTTCCTTTTGGATGACTGCATTTCCCTGGAAATCAAAATATGAACTTTTAATTTCACCTGTTTTGGAGAGGAGTAAATATTCAGAAACTGCCCTACCCACATACCCTGCCTTAGTTAACCAGGTCTAATGAACCTTATTAGCCTTTTCTGGTTTCCCCAAGCATATCATCATTAAATGTTAAGTAATGTGCTGAACTGTGATTTAAAAAATAATGTGAGGTGGCTCAGAAAGGCAGTGGGGTTCTTGCTTATGACAGTCTCCAGTCTTGCTGCATTCCTTGTCTTGTCTCTTTCTCTGCTGTCTCTCCTTCAAATTGTCTACTTTATTGCTTCTGAACAGACAATTATAAATGGGAGAAGATAGCCAAGCTTTGTAAATTGTCAACCTTAATTACCTACAGTAAAGAGTTACAGATGTTAGTCTAAGGACCGTCTACTGAAATATGGAGCCCTTGACCTTATGATGCCATCTTGCCCACTCAGAAGTCTTTCCCTTGTATCTAGGCTCCCAGGTTTATATGCGGGAAAGGAGAGGGAAATGGGTTTGTGTGACTGTGGGTGGGATGAGACAACAGTACAGACATCGAAATTGGAAATAGCTGTTACTAGAAAGATGGATAAGAGGCCTGATCCTGGATAGATGGAGCCATGATAGGAGGAATACTAGACTAGATATATTGTGGTGTGTCAGTGAAAATAACTAATATACTGAGTTTTTTACCTTAATATGCCAGGCCCTGAAAAAAGCACTTTTTTATGGGTTAGTGCATTTAATTCTCATAACAACCCTCTCTTGTGATAGTGTTAGTAGCATTCCTGTTTTTTTTTTGTTTTTTTTTGTTTTTTTTTTTTTAGACGGAGTCTCGCTCTGTCGCCCAGGCTGGAGTGCAGTGGCGGGGTCTCGGCTCACTGCAAGCTCCGCCTCCCGGGTTCACGCCATTCTCCTGCCTCAGCCTCCCAAGTAGCTGGGACTACAGGCGCCCGCCACTACGCCCGGCTAATTTTTTGTATTTTTAGTAGAGACGGGGTTTCACCGTTTTAGCCGGGATGGTCTCGATCTCCTGACCTCGTGATCCGCCCGCCTCGGCCTCCCAAAGTGCTGGGATTACAGGCGTGAGCCACCGCGCCCGGCCGCATTCCTGTTTTAAAAGAAACCGGGACTCAAAGGTTAGTAACTTGCTAAGCTCATCTGACAAATTTAGGTCTAACATCAGAGTCCAGGCTCTGAACTGCCACGTTGTGTGCTTAGAGCACAGATCCTTTCCTTATACACTAGAATCAGCAGTGATGTGCTGGTGAGTTGGCTTTCTGCTGGGGTGAAGAAAACTTTATTTGTAGTATTTGCTGATTTCTATGGTGCAGATACTCCCACTGTGGCTGGTTCCAAGCTACCGATGTGATGTCACTGCAGGCAGCATTGGGGTAGATGGGATGATTACCAGCTCCAGCACACCAGGGAGTGAATGAGCTGTCACACCGCTGTGACGCTCTCAGGCCTTCCCGGAGGAGCCAGTGGAGCTGCCAGTGACATGTCACTTGGGTGCCAGGAGGGGAGGCTGGGGGAAGGATTAGTGCACTGCACAGCCCCACCAGCCTGGAGGGAGACACAGGGCCCCTTTCACTACAGTTTCCATCTGAAAAGCCATACAGTTTCCATCTGAAAAGCCATACAGTTTCCATCTGAAAAGCCATACAGTTTCCATCTGAAAAGTCAGACCTGGGCAGGGCAGGTGGGAAATGCCTTGATGCCTTTGGAGGGCTGAAAGCCTGCTCCTTTCTCCTTTCTTTAGAGATAACTTCAAAGGGAACAGCTGAAGCATTAACACCTTGTTACAATTTTCAACAAAATAGAATAATGCTCTTGTGTCATTTTTTTCTTCTCCTCCGCACTTCACACTCCCACTGCTGTTTTTGTAGCAACTAATTACTCTGTTCTTTGAATAGTCATTCTCTTCTTTGTCAGCTGGGACTTCACCACCAGTCACTGCAGCTGCAGCGAGAGGCAGGACAGGCCTCCTTGAGGCAAGCTGCTCCTCTACCCCTCAGCCTGGTGGTTCTTAGGGTCGCCAGGACCCAGAGAGGGACACAAGCAAGGGGGTGCGGGAGGTGATGACTGTATGTAATACAAACACCCCCAGGATCTAATACAAACACAAATGGATTTGTGTGTTCACATGGGAGAGTCATTCATTTTGAAAATGCAGCTTTTAAAATATATATAATAGTTCAACAACAAAAAAGTAGTACTTAAATAACATGTAAAAGCCTGTAATCCCAACAGTTTGGGAGGCCGAGGCTGGTGAATCATTTGAGGTCAGGAGTTTGAGACCAGCCTGAGCAACATGGTGAGGCTGGTCTCAAACTCCTGACCTCAAATGATTCACCAGCCTTCTCTACTAAAAATACAAAAAAAATTAGGGGGGCGTGCTGGCACATGCCTGTAGTCTCAGCTACTTGGGGGCTGAGGTAGGAGAATCACTTGACCCAGGAGGCAGAGGTTGCAATGAGCTGAGATCGTGCCATTGCACTCCAGCCTGGGCGACGGAGGTAGACTCCATCTCAAAAAAATAAGAATAAATAAATAAAATAACATGTAAAACAAGGCTCTCTTCCCTGTTCTTGGAAAATATGCAGACCCCTTATGAATCGTTTCCAAACTACAATTTTTTTAAGAGAAGAAAGGACAGGGACAGTATAGCAAACTTTCTGAGCCCCTACTAGGTGCCAGGCATTTTCCTTTTTTTTTTTTTTTTAAGTATATATACTTTAAGTTCTAGGATACATGTGTGCAACGTGCAGGTTTGTTACATATGTATACATGTGCCATGTTGGTGTGCTGCACCCATTAACTCATCATTTACATTAGGTATATCTCCTAATGCTATCCCTCCCCCCTCCCCCCACCCCATGACAGGCCCCAGTGTGTGCTGTTCCCCTTCCTGTGTCCAAGTGTTCTCATTATTCAGTTCCCACCTATGAGTAAGAACATGTGGTGTTTGGTTTTTTTGTCCTTGTGATAGTTTGCTGAGAATGATGGTTTCCAGCATCTTCTATGTCCCTACAAAGGACATTAATTCATCCTTTTTTACGGCTGCATAGTATTCCATGGTGTACATGTGCCACATTTTCTTAATCCAGTCTATCATTGGTGGACATTTGGGTTGGTTCCAAGTCTTGCTATTGTGAATAGTGCCGCAATAAACATATGTGTGCATGTGTCTTTATAGCAGCATGATTTATAATCCTTTGGGTGTATACCCAGTAATGGGATGTCTGGGAAATGGTATTTCTAGTTCTAGATCCTTGAGGAACCACCACACTGACTTCCACAATGGTTGAACTAGTTTACACTCCCACCAACAGTGTAAAAGTGTTCCTATTTCTCCACATCCTCTCCAGCAGCTGTTGTTTCCTCATTTTTTAATGATCGCCATTCTAACTGGTGTGAGATGGTATTTCATTGTGGTTTTGATTTGCATTTCTCTGATGGCCAGTGATGATGAGCATTTTTTCATGTGTCTGTTGGCTGCATAAATGTCTTCTTTTGCGAAGTGTCTGTTCATATCCTTTGCCAAATTTTGATGGGGTTGTTTGATTTTTTCTTGTAAATTTGTTTAAGTTCTTTGTAGATTCTGGATGTTAGCCCTTTGTCAGATGGGTAGATTGTAAAAATGTTCTCCCATTCTGTAGGTTGCCTGTTCACTCTGATAGTAGTTTATTTTGGTGTGCAGAAGCTCTTTAGTTTAATTAGATCCCATTTGTCTATTTTGGCTTTTGTTGCCATTACTTTTGGTGTTTTAGTCATGAAGTCCTTGCCCTTGCGTATGTCCTGAATGGTATTGCCTAGGTTTTCTTCTAGGGTTTTTATGGTTTTGGGTCTAACATTTAGGTCTTTAATCCATCTTGAATTAATTTTTGTATAAGGTGTAAGGAAGGGATCCAGTTTCAGCTTCCTACATATGGCTAGCCAGTTTTCCCAGCATCATTTATTAAATAGGGAATCCTGTGCCCATTTCTAGTTTTTGTCAAGTTTGTCAAAGATCAGATGGTTGTAGATGTGTGGTATTATTTCTGAGGGCTCTGTTCTGTTCTGTTGGTCTATACCTCTATTTTGGTACCAGTACCATGCTGTTTTGGTTACTGTAGCCTTGTAGTATAGTTTGAAGTCAAATAGCGTGATGCCTCCAGCTTTGTTCTTTTTGCATAGGATTGTCTTGGCAATGTGGGCTCTTTTTTTGGTTCCATATGAACTTGTATTTTGTATCCTGAGACTTTGCTGAAGTTGCTTATCAGCTTAAGGAGATTTGGGGCTGAGACGATGGGGTTTTCTAAATATACAATCATGTCATCTGCAAACAGGGACAATTTGACTTCCTCTTTTCCTAATTGAATACCCTTTATTTCTTTCTCCTGCCTGATTGCCCCGGCCAGAACTTCCAACGCTATGTTGAATAAGAGTGGTGAGAGAGGGCATCCCTGTCTTGTGCCAGTTTTCAAAGGGAATGCTTCCAGTTTTTGCCCATTCAGTATGATAATGGCTATGGGTTTGTCATAAATAGCTCTTATTATTTTGAGATAAGTCCCATCAATACATAATTTATTGAGAGTTTTTAGCATGAAGGGCTGTTGAATTTTGTCAGAGGCCTTTTCTGCATCTATTGAGATAATCATGTGGTTTTTGTCTTTCATTCTGTTTATATGCTGGATTACATTTATTGATTTGCATATGTTGAACCAGCCTTGCATCCCAGGGATGAAGCCCACTTGATCATGGTGGATAAGCTTTTTGATGTGCTGCTGGATTCGGTTTGCCAGTATTTTATTGAGGATTTTTGCACTGATGTTCATCAGGGATATTGGTCTAAAATTCTTCTTTTTTGTTGTGTCTCTGCCCGGCTTTGGTATCAGGATGATGCTGGCCTCATAAAATGAGTTAGGGAGGATTCCCTCTTTTTCTATTGATTGGAAGTTTCAGAAGGAATGGTACCAGCTCCTCCTTGTACCTCTGGTAGAATTCGGCTGTGAATCCGTCTGGTCCTGGACTTTTCTTGGTGGTAGGCTATTAATTATTGCCTCAATTTCAGAGCCTGTTATTGGTCTATTCAGGGATTCAACTTCTTCCTGGTTTAGTCTTGGGAGAAGAGAAGTTTAGAGAAAAAAGAGTAAAAAAAAATGAACAAAGCCTCCAAGAAATATGGGACTATGTGAAAAGACCAAATCTACGTCTGATTGGTGTACCTGAAAGTGACGGGGAGAATGGAACCAAGTTGGAAAACACTCTTCAGGATATTATCCTGGAGAACTTCCCCAACCTAGCAAGGCAGGCCAACATTCATATTCAGGAAATACAGAGAACGCCACAAAGATACTCCTCGAGAAGAGCAACTCCAAGACACATAATTGTCAGATTCACCAAAGTTGAAATGAAGGAAAAAGTGTTAAGGGCAGCCAGATAGAAAGGTCAGGTTACCCACAAAGGGAAGCCCATCAGACTAACAGTGGCTCTCTGCAGAAACTCTACAAGCCAGTAGAAAGTGGGGGCCAATATTCAACATTCTTAAAGAAAAGAATTTTCAACCCAGAATTTCATATCCAGCCAAACTAAGCTTCATAAGTGAAGGAGAAATAAAATCCTTTACAGACAAGCAAATGCTGAGAGATTTTGTCACCACCAGGCCTGCCCTACAAGAGCTCCTGAAGGAAGCACTAAACATGGAAAGGAATAATTGGTACCAGCCACTGCAAAAACATGCCAAATTGTACAGACCATTGATGCTAGGAAGAAATTGCATGAACTAACAAGCAAAATAACCAGCTAACATCATAATGACAGGATCAGATTTACACATAACAATATTAACCTTAAATGTAAATGGGCTAAATGCTCCAATTAAAAGACACAGACTGGCAAATTTGATAGAGTCAAGACCCATCAGTGTGCTATATTCAGGAGACCCATCTCATGTGCAGAGACACACATAGGCTCAAAATAAAAGGATGGAGGAAGATCTACCAAGCAAATGGAAAACAAAAAAAGGCAGGGGTTGCAATCCTAGTCTCTGATAAAACAGACTTTAAACCAACAAAGATCAAAAGAGACAAAGAAGGCCATTACATAATGGTAAAGGGATCAATTTAACAAGAAGAGCTAACTATCTTAAATATATATGCACCCAATACAGGAGCACCCAGATTCATAAAGCAAGTCCTTAGAGACCTACAAAGAGACTTAGACTCCCACACAATAATAATGGGAGACTTTATCACCCGACTGTCAACATTAGACAGATCGAGACAGAAAGTTAACAAGGATATCCAGGAATTGAACTCTGCACCAAGTGGGACCTAATAGACATCTACAGAACTCTTCACCCAAAATCAACAGAATATACATTCTTCTCAGCACCACCTTGCACTTATTCCAAAATTGACCACATAGTTGGAAGTAAAGCACTCCTCAGCAAATGTAAAACAACAGAAATTGTGACAAACTGTCTCTCAGACCACAGTGCAATCAAACTAGAACTCAGGATTAAGAAACTCACTCAAAACAGCTCAACTACATGGAAACTGAACATCCTGCTCCTGAATGACTACTGGGTTTATAACGAAATGAAGGCAGAAATTAAAATGTTCTTTGAAACCAATGAGAACAAAGACACAACATACCAGAATCTCTGGGACACATTTAAAGCGGTGTGTAGAGGGAAACTTATAGCACTAAATAAATGCCCACAAGAGAAAGCAGGAAAGATCTAAAATTGACACCCTAACATCACAATCAGAAGAACTAGAGAAGCAAGAGCAAACACATTCAAAAGCTAGCAGAAGGCAAGAAATAACTAAGATCAGAGAAGATCTGAAGGAGATAGAGACACAAAAAACCCTTCAAAAAATCAATGAATCCAAGAGCTGGTTTTTTGAAAAGATCAACAAAATGGATAGATCACTAGCAAGACTAATAAAGAAGAAAAGGGAAGAATCAAATAGATGCAGTAAAAAATGATAAAGGGGATATCACCACCGATCCCACAGAAACACAAACTATCATCAGAATACTATAAACACCTCTACGCAAATAAACTAGAAAATCTAGAGGGCCTCGGGTCTTTATAGCCACAGGATGGGGGCGTCATGGGCCAGGGTTGTCTTTGGAAATGCAGCATCTGGACACAAAGGCAGGAGTGCCTGTCCTCATCTTGATCCGTGGGGGTGGAGCCCTAGCCAGGGACCACTCCCTCCTCTACCCAGCTCTTCCCTTCCCTGCTTCATATCATTTAAAGGGAACATGCTATTCCCTTCCCAGCACTTCCGTATCAGCAGCTTCATTTTTATTAAAACAGCGATGAGAATGAGGCTGGGAGAAGTTCAGTTGCTGCCCAAAGAGTGAACGGAACCAGCTAGCATGACAGCCTGATGGACACAGTCCTGGTAGACTTCACTGGAAAACCTCCCTGGAGTGAGCAGGCCCCTTATGCAGGAATTGCCTGATTCTCACCCCCCTGCTGTCACCCCTCTGCAGTAGGTAGCCAGCATCAATAGATTAGTGACCTCTGTGACCTCTGGGTCTTCACCGTCATTCCCGTGACAAGATGAAAAGTACCTGGATGAACAGACTAAATTGTGATGTTCTGGATGGTATTGCATAGAGTGGTCAACCCTTTATTCTGTTGAGGGCCACTAGCCTATAGTTCTTAAAGAAAGCAATTAAGGGCCATTCAAAATGACAAGCTAAAAACAAACAGGTTACATAAGACCAAATTACCTCTTAAATAAGAATAGGTCACAGCATTTTTTCTTCATTTTAAAAATCCAGTATTTTAAAGTGCTAAAGCATACTGCTTTAGAGTGAAGAGGGCAATTAGAAATCATGTGGTTCAGATCTCTCATTTTTCAGAGGAGGAGTTTTGATTCAAATAATTTATGTGTTTTTTTCCAAGCCAGAGTCACATGGCTTATAGGGACCAAGCCATCCTCAAACATAAAACTTTTCTGACTCGTGAGTCCAGTGTTGTGATGTTCTGTTCAATTTCCTAGTCAACCATTTCTCTATATTCCACAGGGTCTTAAGGAAAAAGGAGAGAGTTATGAGAAATAAAAGATAAAAGAGAAAGAATACAAAGACTGAAAAACAGAGTAAGGAGATGGAGTAGCTTTTCCATTAATTTAGGGTTTCAGCATGTCACCTCTTATCACGTTTAGCATTGACATTGTAATTCCTGCTGGCCATAGCCCTTTAATTGGGTTTTATAAAAGTTGTTGAATTTTCCTTGGAGAATTGGAATGGTTTCGTTAATGGCTAAAATAAGACTAACTTACACAGTCTTACCTACATAGTATGTATTAATTCTGTGGGTTTAAATCCTGGCTTTGCCACCTGCTGGCTGTGTAAACTTGGGCAGGTTAATCTCTCTAGGCCTCTATTTCCTCCTCTACAAAGTGGGGATAATGATAGCATCCACTTCATAGAGTTGCTGTAAAGTGGCTAAATTCGTGCCTGGCCCATTGTAAGTTATAGGTATTATTAGAGTTACCGTTCATCAACACAGAATTTTACTTAGAATGATATAATAAAAATCCTTTTATGAAAGTTTATGCATAGCATTAAAAGCCAGTTTTTAATCTGTATTCTTCAGTCTGTTGTATACTTCTTGATTCTACATAACGTTCTTCTGTTTTGCAGAGTTAAGTAAGAGACCAGGAAGCCAGTGATGGTTACCCTGGCCACAAAAGGCAATCAGAAATGGCGAGTAGCTGAAGTTTAGCTCTGCAGAACCTTCTGTGCTTATTCATTGTTTATGAATGAATCTTCTCTCTGCTCAGACTTTATCATACTATATTTGGCCAATGTGGGATATGAAGAAAGTTTCTAGTTATATGTTATGAGTGGTGGAAATAAAATGTAGACTGTGGGGAAGACAGCGTCTTTGGCCAGAGAGGCCTTCTAGCCAGTTTTCATACTAAATGTTAAGCAGTTTAAAAGACTATTCCAAAGAGTGTTTGAAGAAACCCAAAGATAAAGTAACTTGTCTGTTTGATATTATGTTATTGCTGTTATTGTGTCTGTTACCATTATCATTATTTATTTTATTATCTGCCTGATGCAAAATGGACTTAAAACAGCCTATGAAAGTACTTGTGAGCTGGGCACAGTGGCTCATGCCTGGAATCCCAGTACTTTGGGAGACCGAGGCAGGTACATCACTTGAGCTCAGGAGTTTGAGACCAACCTGTGCAACATGGTGAAACCCTGTCTCGACAAACAATACAAAAATTAGCTGAGCGTGGCAGTGCACACCTGTAGTCCCAGCTACTCAGGAGGCTGAGATGGGAGAATCACTTGAGCCCAGGAGGTTGAGGCTGTGGTGAACCTTGATCACGTCACAGCACTCCAGCCTAGGCGACACAGCAAGACCTTCTCTCAAAAAGAAAGAGAAAGTAGTTGTACAGTATTAAAATAGAAGCTTAGCTAGGGAATTGGAGGTGGAAGAGGTAGTAGTGAAAGCAAAACATGGCCTAGGTGAAAATTTTTGGAAAGTTGGTGCCCAAAATACATAATAATAAAGTTCTGTACATGTGCTGGTTCCTAGCAGCCGACAGAAAGGGGCATAGATGGTGATGTTCTTTGAGTTTACAAGTTAGAACAAGAGCATTGCTGAGGAGAAGCAAAGATAGTCCAGATTTTGAGCATAAGTGAAATTTTTCCATGCATTATTATAAATTTTAGTCAATATTCCTTTGGTAAAATGTAATATTTTTGCATTGTATTTACTGATCCAGAACATTAGATCTTTATAATATGCCTTATTTAGTCAGAAACGAAAGGCTGTAGTCACAAATGAAAGACTCTAAACTATACCACAGTGTATTACCTCTATGAACAACCAAAAAAGGGTTGCAGTGGCATATTTTTGTCATAAATATCAGAATCAAAGCTTGAAATTATATCAGAGCCTAAAGTAGTATTCGTTAATATTAGAGAAAAGGTTCTATTAGAGAAAAGGTTTTAATGACATAGCAGTCATTAACTACTAAAAGTAATGTCAAATGTGCCATAAAACAATGTTTTACAGACTGCAGACCATAACTCTCAAGTAGATCATCAAATCAATTTAGGACATTGTGCCCAGTGTATTTTTGGATGAAGTGTATTCAGAATACAGCAAAATGGAAGACATGAGAGGAAGGATGCACATCTGTGTGTATATATGGTGGTGCTGTGTCCCAGTGTGAAATGTATGTCTTAGGTTGTCATCCAGAAAGTGTGAAAGCCATTGCTATTAAAGCATAAAAGGGATAGAGTGGAGCCTTGGGCGGAGGGTCAGATTAAGGTCACCCTTGGCTTTTGGGACATTTGGGGGACTGGTAAGGAAACCCCAAGAAGAAAGTACTCCTTGGAGACGTGGGCTATGACTGAGTCAAGTAAGGATGGCAGCAGACGCCATTGCTCCTTCTGAGCACATGCTCCAAAAGTGGCACTTTCCAACAACAAAAACTCTACTGAAGGTGGGGGAGAAGATGCATTATGGAATACACATTTGAAATGTAAGGAGTCAACACTGAGATATGTAGACAAGGTCATGAAAGAGTGGCACCTTCCATTGTCCTTATTCTCCTGCCAGCCAACTATGTAAACCCTTCCACTTTGCCCCCCATCTCCATGTCTCACCTTCCCTCCCCGCGCCTTCAGCCTCATCCACGTCAAGACCAGGCCTTTGGCCGGACGCCCTTTGGGCCTGCACTGTCCAGGACAGGAGGCATGTGGCTACACAGCACTTGTGATGTCGCTGGTCCAAAGTGAAATGGTCTGTAAGCTGCTCGTACACCCTTTCGGAGCCCAGTCGCAATGTGCGGTGGCGGGAATGTGAAGCTGCGCATACACCCTTTCAGAGCCTGGTCATGGTGTGCAGTGGTGGGGGTGTGAAGCTGCTCGTACACCGTTTCAGAGCCCAGTCACGATGTGCAGTGGCAAGTGTGTGAAGCTGCTTATACACTCTTTTGGAGCCCAGTCAAGATGTGCAGTGGCAGGTGTGTGAAACTGCTTATACACCCTTTCAGAGCTCAGTCACTGTATGCATTGGCGGGTGTGTGAAGCTGCTTGTATACCCTTTTGGAGCCCCAGTCATGGTGTACAATGGCAGGTGTGTGAAGCTGCTCGTTCACCCTTTTGGAGCCCAGTCACGATGTGCAGTGGCGGGTTGTGAAGCTGCTCATACACCCTTTCAGAACCCAGTTGTGGTGTGCAGTGGTGGGTGTGTGAAGCCGCTTGCTTCCATTGAGACTTCATGCTCTCAGGTATGCCCCCGTCATGCTGTCCTGGTGGCCTTTCCTCCTCAGGTCTCAGTAGTCTGGCCACCCCCAGGGTGTCCGTGGGTCCCATTGTTTTTTAAAGACTCCATATCTCGCACTCAAAAAGTTGGGATTGAGTAAAGGAAAATACTATTATAATACTTCCTTGGGTTCTGGTTTTTGAAAAGAAAATAAGTACTAGGGCCCAAAGATTGAAAGGTGGTTTGAAACAGAGGGTGAAATTGTGGATCCATTTTTAAGTGTTAATGAGAATCAATGTGGTTCCACCAGCAAGAAAAAGCAGTATCCATTGTGTTTCTCCCTGTGCCTTGCCCCTAATAGGAGTTGCTCTGAAACCTACCGCATGCCAGTGATGGAGTACAAAATGAATGAAGGTGTTTCATACGAATTCAAGTTTCCCTTCCGAAATAATAACAAGTGGCAGAGGAACGCCAGCAAGGGGCCTCATTCACCTCAAGTCCCGTCCCAGGTGCAGAGTCCCATGACCTCGCGGCTGAATGCTGGAAAAGGAGATGGGAAGATGCCTCCTCCAGAAAGAGCCGCCAACATCCCTCGAAGCATCTCCAGTGACGGGCGCCCACTAGAGAGGCGGTAAGTGTGCCTTCAAAGGTTTGCTCTATCTCTCTCTGCCCCAAATGTAAGTAACACAGACCCATAAGCACTAGTTTTAGGCCTTCTCATATTTTACTAGAAACAAAGAATTAAACTGAGGTGCATACCGTAGTGACTTTCAAAGCATGGTAGTGTTCCAAAGCCATAAGGATCAACAGAGATTGATTCTAGCAAAGCCTTCAGCTCTGCACACTGGTATTTGTGCTTTGCTCTTTAATTTCCGTGTGATTATCAACAGACGTCGTTACTGCATGCTTAGTGGCCCTGTGGATTAGAATTTAGCAGACTCTTTGAGGTGACAGTGACTGTATATCATCCTTGACAGTCTTCATCATTTTGTTCCGAAATGATGATATAAGAGCAACAGAAGGCAGGTTTTTGGTTGAATAACTATGTTTGTGTCACTTTATTAATAAAGGATTATGCGGAAGGAAAACTAGTATAACACAAACATATTTTTCACTACTCTGAAAATAGGAAAGAATAGTGAAGAGAAGACGATACGTGGAGATACGTTAAAACACTTAGTCCTGAGTAAAGTAAGCCAGAGGGAGAGGGACTGAGGGGTCCTAGAAAGTAAGAAACCAAAGGTTGTTGTTAAATTGAAAGCCATAGAGAGTTCCCTCCCAAAAGGTAGTGGGTTAACTCTGCCTTTACAAGGTTGCCCTAGCACTTTTGTCTGGAGTTAAGAGTAAACTGCAGCACTTTGAACTAGAGTCCAGGCCTAAAATTAAACTAGATTAAGTGCTTTCAAAATGGGAATAGAAGTTGGCTATACAGATTTTAAGTAATTGCACTATAAATTTGGTTACCTCAAATCATGTACACTAAAGCAGTTTAATTGAATAATCTGCTAGTGGTCTGCTAGAAGTCATCAACTTCTTTTTTTTCTTTCTTTTTTCTTTTTTTTAGACAGAGTCTCACTCTGTCATCCAGGCTGGAGTGCAGTGGTGCTATCTCGGCTCACTGCAACCTCTGCCTCCCAGGTTCAAGCGAGTCTCCTGTCTCAGCCTCCCAAGTAGCTGGGATTACAGCGTGAGCCACCACGCCTGGCCTAGAAGTCAACTTCTTTCTGTCCATCCACTGTCCTTTCCCCATCTCTTCAGGATTGCCTTAATCACATCTCAGAATGTTGTTGTGAAAACCCTTAGACCTGGGGAGAAGTCTGTATTCTGGGAACTGTGTTGGGGAGAAGGGAGGGTCCATGTGGAAGCCAAAACATGAGCCTGACTCATCTGAGTGGCAAGAACCAGGTCTGGCAGGAGCAGGGTGCTGAGGAAAACGGTTCCCAGATACACGTAAATCATCACCGCTCCAGTTTGGAAGCAGAGAGCAGGAAGATTTAGAAACCACACTATGAAGTCTTTATCTTAGTCTGACTTTTGAACTGTTGCATAAAACATTGTCACTTAACTATTTTAGGTTACTAGGATACCATGTAGAAATAATTTAATAAAAACAGACAAACAATTTAATTAAAACAGACAAACCAAAAACATAGTCATCTTTCTACAACTTCTCATTTCATCCTGGAGATCTGTTTACAGAGCCTTGCTATTTATCTCAATAAAAGTTTCCTCTCCCATAGTGGCCCCATTACCATCTGGACTCCTCTCTTTCCTTATTTTGAGGAGGAAAACATCCAAGAGACCTCTGAGTAAATTCTTTTTTTGACACATTCCAGACTTGGCTGCCTCTGAGGTGTGTGCTAACTGGAATTCATGATTTGGCCCACATTTTGAAAGATGAACCTAGGAAATCACTGTATAGAGAAGGACCTTTTCCCCCACCTCAGTGCTGTTTTCTTTCTCTCCAGAACAATCAGCAGGCTTTCACAAGTGAAATTGGCTTTGTGTAATTTCCTTTATACAATATTCCATTTGAGAATGTATTTTGATTCCATGTTGAATTTAATTTCTGCAACAGAAACTAAAGCTCCTTGCCAGTCATACTGACCTTCAAAAGGGAAAATATTTTTTGTAGCTGAGTATCATATTTCGATGGGAGCAGCTTTCAGTGCTAGAGAATGCAGAACTCCATTTTTTCCAGATGTAGATCCTTGAGTTCTAGAGGTAATTTCTGTGTGTACTTGTGTCTGCCTTTCTTCTTTACTCCACCCAGAGGAAAATGCATCTCAGTAAGTGCGCCTTCTAGAAGACCATTAGAGTAGCTTGTGACTCTCTAAGCTGCAGAGGTGAAAGGGCCATAGGTGGGGCTGACGAGGTTTTCAGGAAAATTTAACCTCTACTCACTGCCCCCTTAGTCTCTGGTATATATTCAGTACACTAGACTAGGATTTCAGATCTTAGGATGCAGGGCTTAGATGACTTGTGAGATCTCAGTCCTACAGTTTCCAGGATATTAGGATGATTTGGCTCATCTTCATTTTGAAATATATGGTAATTAATTGGATGGATATTCTTCTTTTATGAAAATTTAAAGTTCAGTTTCTTACCCCATCATTCCTAATTTTTAGTAAAAAATATCTTTTAAGTTTTAATTTTGAGGCATAAAGAGAAGGTACTATAGATTGAATATCTTAATCCAAAAGTCTGAAATCTGTAATACTACAAAATCTAAAACGTTTTGAGCACTGACATGATGCTCAAAGGAAATGCCCATTGGAGGATTTCAGATATTCGGATTAGGGATGCTCAACTGCAAGTGTAATGCAAATATTTCAAAATCCAAAAACTTCCAAAATCCAAAACATTTCTGGTCCAAAGAATTTAGGATACGGGCTACTCGTGTTTGAGAAAGTTTGTTTTGCTACTGTGACTCCAGGAATATTTGAGGATAGAGCAGATTCATGAGTTTTATCAGAAATACTTCCTCAGTCCTTCTTGAGTCCCCAGATGCATAAAGTTCACCTTAGAATATAATTTCCTTCATGAAATTTAGTAAAACATAACTGAAAACTTAAAGCATCCCCTTTGTAGTCCTACTGAGAACAAATACCTTATTGAGATACAGAAGTGAGGAGTACCGGGGCACCCCTCATCCATCTGACTCTCCCCTGCATACCAGCGCCGTCCTGAGTGCCATTTACAATTTGTACCTTGTACTCACCAAGTATAATTTGGACCTTTCAGAGGAATCATAAATCATGAAAATAAATGACAGGGTCTGCCAGACCTTGAATCTTGCCTTACCAGTAATGGTGTGGCGTAATATTGTGACTAAAGAATGCTTTACAGTTGTTCATTCCATTCATTTTTTCTCCTGTAGGTTAGGGAAATTGTGTTTAACCATAGAGAAACCAGCTATACTTAAGCTCAAGTTAGCAGCCATCTCAAGTCTACTCCTCCAGTGCTCCCCAAATCTGCCCACTTAAGTAACCATGGATGGATCCAACACAGTCCATTTTGGGTGAAAACACTAATTTACTGCTTGTAGAAGCATAGTTTTTCTTTAATTTGTATGTAGTATCCCAGACTTAAAGGTCATTAGGAACAAAAAAAATAAATCTGCATAATATTTTTCCTTTAATATCAAGGTCAGGATTTTTATGACATAAAAATGTTGGTGTTTTGAGTTTTAATAAAAATTCTTTAGTTGGATGATGTTCTTTATACATAGTTAAGAGAAACTGACACAGTAAGAATTGATAATCCATTTGGCATCTAAATAGAATAAAGTCTAATTTCTATTTGGTTTAAATATATGAGTTTTATGCTCTCCAGGTGGCTTTCTGATTACAGAATTTTACAGTATTTGTGAGAGTAGTAGTTATTAACAATTAACATTCGTTCAACAGAAATAGGTAATATGATACGGTCACTATTTTGGCCTCAAATTTACCTAGAGCTTAAGGGTAGGATTGAAATAAAAATTGCTGGCTGTGGCACGCTGAACTTGATACATTACTGTGTTTAAACATAATGCGGGATCAGCAATAAAACCCTGATCTGTGTTAATATGCTTATAAAAGTTGAGCTATTTGAGGGGCTTTGGATAAACAACAGACATCTTAGCATGTAAAATGATTTTCTTTTCTCCTTTTTTTAGGCTGGTATTACCAGCCTTTATGTAAATATTTGATGTTAGAGCTCACTGAACACTTGGTACTTCTGAGTTTTACCTGGATGTCATTGTTACTCCCCTTGAGACCCCTGCACTTAACTCTTAAGAAGCTGGATGGGGGGCCTTTTTTGTTCACGCAGTTATGGCAGCTGCGTCTGCAGCCTCCCTCCCTCCTTCCTTACAGACACCAGCACCATATAGGGTGTGAATATGGTGGAAACAAACTTAAAAGAGTTCTCCTCTCAGAGAGCATAATAGTCACGTGACCATTCAGTCTTGATTTTTAAGGAAATACTTTTTAAGTTTGTTATATCATACAGGATCTAAGCTAATCTTCCACTGTGTCATTTTCTGCTTTCAAACAAAACAAGCACCATTTAATGTTTACTCTTCTTTTGTTTAGAATATTAGCTGTGGTTAGAAGCCTCAGACTTGTGCTTTCCAAATACTGGCCCCCTCCATCACAGCTTCGTGCCTTGCCATGAGGATCCTGAAATCATGGGACTTTTGAACTTCACTGGGAATGCTCCAGCTAGGTCCCCATTGCCCATTGACTTCCATATTTCTTTTCATTTCTTTAATTATTTTTTTTTTGTGACAGGGTCTCACTCTGTCGCAGTGGCATTGATCTTAGCTCACTGTAAACTCAAACTCCTGGGTTCAAGCCATCCTCCCACCTCAATCTGCTGAGTAACTAGTACTGCAGGTGCACGCCACACCACACCCAGCTTATGTTTTGAAATGATTTTTTTTATAGAGACAGTGTCTCACTCTGTTGCCCAGACTAGTTGTAAACTCTTAGCCTCAAGTGATCCTCCCTCCTCAGCCTCCCAAAGTGCTGGGATCACAGGTGAGAGCCACTGCACCCAGCTAACTTCTACATTTCTAAAGCTTCTGGATGGTGTTAGGTCCTTAGCTTATTTGATACCATTCACTACTCCCTCCTTCTTCAAATTACATTTCCTTGTCTTCCAAAAGGTATTCCTGATTTTTTTTGTATCGTCAGCTCTTTGCGCCTATCTCATCACCCTGAAATTTGTGTTCCCCACTTCTTCCTCATTTTTATTTGAATCCCACACTGTGCAATTCTTCTAGAAGGTTCATCCACTTGAGCAACCTCAACTGTCATCTGTATGTGGGCAGTTCCTTAGCTGATCTGTTTTGCCTTGGTCTCTTTTTCACTTTTCATATTCCTGACTACCTACTGAACATATGCACTTGAAAGGCATGAAAGTGTCTCACATTCACAAGTTCAAGCTGACTTGACCTTCACACCTGCCCCTCCTTCTGCCTCTTCCGTCTCGTGTGTTACCCACCTTGGTGGATGGCTTTGCCATCTACCTGAGTATCCAGAGCAGAAGTAGGATTCGTTATCAACTTCCCCTCAGCACTATCATCCCATCTCCACACATGTTCCTGCCATTGCCTGAGAAGTTCTCATTTCGCACTAAGTTTCTTTTGCTTACCTAAACTGTTGCCAACAGCCTCTAGGTATGATTACCAGCCTCCCACTGGAAGGATGACCTAATAAAAATGGATATACTCCTCAGGCTGTGCCTTTTCATTATAGCCCTTCCATAGTTCCACACAGCCTTCAGGATCAAGTCCAACTCACCAGCAAGTTTGCCTGTGTTGGCTGGGTGCTGTGGTTTATGCCTATAATCCCACCACTTTGGGAGGCCAAGGCTGGTGCATGGCTTGAGTCTAGGAGTTCAAGACCAGCCTGGGCAACATAGTGAGACCCCGTATCTACAAAAAATAAAAAAAAATTAGCCAGGTGTGGTGGCACATGCCTGTAGTCTCAGCTACTTGGGAGGCTGAGTGGGAGGATCACCTGAGCCTGGGCATTTGAGGCTGCAGTGAGCCGTGATCACGCCACTGCACTTCAGCCGGGGTAACAGAGTGAGACCCTGTCCCTCCCAAAAAGTTTGTCTATGTGGACTTGCCTTTCCCTTTTCCCCTATCATCGTCACCACCCCCATCCCTAGGCATGGGAGTGGCTCTCTCCTCTGCAAGCACTATGTTCCCCTTGATGCCTTTTTAGGAGCTCCTCTACTTGGTGCACCTTCCACTCCTTCTTTTGACTGCTGAAGTCTTGCCATGCCTGCTCCTCTGACAAGTCGCCTTTAATTTCCCCAAAACACTCTCCTCCCATTTCTACCTTAATTGCCTCACTAGGAATGTTCTTACCACCACATGGCTTCTTCACTCACAAAATTTATGAAACTTCGCTTTAATGTTATTTGTCCATTTCTTTAAACTTAGCCTGTCTTATTCATCTTTGTATTCCAAATACCAGCCACAGACTCTGGCATTTAATAGGCTCCCAATGCTTTTTTTAAGAAGAGTTTCCTCAACTTAGTGTGTCTACACTTCACATGGTAGTCCAGCTTTCCACACGAAGAGTTTCCTCTACTTTCCATTTGTGGTAATGACCCTTTAATAACAAAAGGGCTTATTTAAGTAACTGGGGACAGAATTTAATCTATCTTGGAGAAAATAAACCAATTTCCTTTTATAAAAATTAGATGATAGGTAAAGGCAAAGCACTTGATAGTCTGATAAAGCTATAGCATTAAACATAGATATAAGTAGAATTATTTGGTTTTTGTTGACTAAGTTTAGAATACTTCATTTTAAAAGTATATTGCTGGTAGAGCTTTTCTAAAATTGACTCAAAGTGAAATGCAAGATCTTGATTGACTCCTTCAAAAGGTTTTAGTTGGAACTGAATTCTGGTGGTGTATTTGTCAGCCAAGACAAGGGAGAAAAGCAGAGGGCCGCATTTGACTTAAAGTGACCGGACTCTGAAGGCTCCTGTTTTCCACTCCTTGCAGGAAACAGCGTACTCTGGCATCCATGTCAGGATTAGAGTTGATGTGATTTGCAAGTTCACATTTTTAGATGATACTGCAACAGTGGTTCCTATTCAGGCATTCAGGAAATGGGCACAATGGCTTCAGCTTGGCACACCTCCCAGTTCCCCATCGTTTACAAACTCCAGAGTGGCCCAGGAATGGGAGGAGAATGCTCCAGTACTGTGTCCAGCTCCAGCTCTTCAGTTACTTACTCATCATTCCTTGGGCCTCGAAAGTAGCTATTCTGCACTCACCCTAGGGAAATGTTTCCATAACGGCTTCCTCTCTGCAGGGCCACCTGTGTATTAGTGTGACCTGCCTGGAAATTCCTAGAAGCACCAGGAGGGTAGGCTGTGCTGTCCAGGGGCCATGATTTGCATCCTGCCTACGCTACTGGGAGTGTGTGGCAGTGGGCAAGGTCCTGTCCTTCTGCACTTTAACATCCCCATGACTCAAGTAGGTCACAGCCCCACCTCTTAGAGTCTGTGAAGATTAATTAGGGTAATACAGGTTCAGCATCCCTTACCCAAAATGCTTGAACCAGAAATGTTTCAAATTTCAATTTTTTTTTAATTTTGCGCATATTTGCATTGATCCTATTGGTTGAGCATCCCAAATTTGAAATCCAGAATGCTCCAATGAGCATTTCATTTGAATGTTATATTGGCGCTCAAAAAGTTTTGGATTTTGGGGCCAACTGCTGTGGCTCACACTGGTAATCCCTGCCCTTGGGGAGGTCGAGGCAAGTGGATCACCTGAGGTCAGGAGACCAGCTTGGCCAACATGGCGAAAGCCTGTCTACTAAAAACACAATAATTAGCTGGGTGTGGTGGCGGGTGCCTGTAATCCCAGCTACACGGGAGGGTGAGGCAGAAGAATCACTTGAACCTGGGAGGAGGAGATCGCAGTGAGCCGAGATCACACCACTGCACTCCAGCCTGGGAGACAGAGCAAGACTCCGTCTCAAAAAAAAAAGAACAGGATTCCCATGATCTAGTCTGAACAGCTGGTATGAATTATGTGGTTAGAAAGCCAGCAGTAACTCTGTTCACAAAGTACACAACAGGAAGTGATGAAAAGACAGGCACGAGTTGCTTGAAGTTGAACACAACTTGTTCAAACTACTCCGGTTATAGCACCCAAATTACATCACCTTGAATTGTTGTAGAGATTTTTCTTTTTTCTTTTCTTTTTTTTTTTTTTTACATAATTTTGGAAGAATCCTAGTTGATATACATGGCTGAAGACAGAAGACTTTAACTTGGTCCTGTTCCCTGGTTGGATAGCAATTGCTAAGTTGTGGTAAAATGCTGTGCTTAATTATGGACTCAAGCATTTAATTTGTCCATCACTGCTGCTGTTTGAAGTGCTCTCACTTGTTTATACCACCAGCTCACTGTTTGCACTTGGGTTACTGAGGGCCTTATGTCCTTGTACATATCTCATGTTGGAATAAAAAGTAAGAAATAGAATAGAGATTTAATTAATCTTACCTAATCAGTTAGGAAAATATTTTACCATCAACTTGTCACTTAGAATTCCATAGCCATAAGTTGATAAGTTGTAATCAGTCATAATCTGGAGTGATCAGTTTAATAAGAATCTATTAATGTTGGCACTATATATGTCGTCCTGTGAGTTGATTCATGGAATAGGTGTGGTGGAGGACAGGGGTGGTTGTGTTAGAAATCCGTGTGTGTGTGCGTGTGTGTATGTGTGTGTGTCAGCTCTCTTTTTTAGCCTGGTGTGCGACTGCTTCTGGAAGAATGAAGGACGTATCTTGGACCATCTCTTCCTAAATGTCCAACCCCTTCAACTCTCTGTTTTCACTGCAGTGAAGTGCATTGCATATAAATGAAAAGCTGGTGTTTAGTGTTAAGTGTAGTCAAAAGACTGTGGAAGTAATGTCTCTGGATGGTGATGATCATGACTTTTTCAATTGCGCATTCTTAGTACAATAAAAAAAAAAGCCCTGGTGTTTTATTTCAGCAGAAGGAAGCCCCAGAGGATGTTTAGTATCAGTTATTTTAAAAATGTTTAGTTATTTCTTGACTAAATTTATAAAAATATAGAGAAGAAAATCTTCTGAAATTAATGCTAAAAGATTTACAGAATTCCTCTCTGACAGTGACCAGAGCATTCTTTAAAAAGAATATTGCCTGTATTCAACAGAATGGAAAGATCTCACAGCAATTGAAAGAGGTATTAATCTTTGTCCTCTAAATCTGTTGGGGCATTAACATCAGACGTTTGGGGCTCTTTAAGCAGAAAGATCTGGATTTATCTCAAAAGAGAAGAAAAGTCTCTTGTGATCTTGCTGTAACTTCACTGGACTCAGCAGCTCTTAAAACAGAGTACGCTTGTAAGGTGGGGTGGGATGGACAGAGATCCAGGAGATCAGTGTGCTGGTTTTCCTATGTGAGCCAATGTGAGAGGTACTGCTCCCAGTTCTTGAAGCACCTCTTCAAAGTGGCAGGATAGCAATCAGCCCATCTTCCAATAACGATCAGCCTCAGGCTATCTCTTCAGAAGTGGACTGCCAGTACCCAGACAGGCGGCGGTGGCTTCCACTCTCCCACTAGGTCTGTTCTCAAATAATATTTGTGTGATAGTATCAAATTCAGAGTATTTGGAAAAAATAGTAAGTCATCAGAATAAGGGCTAATTCTGAATTTTTCTTTGCCTACCATACATACATCTAGAGTCATAAAAACATTTGGGTGGCATTCCATCAGTTGCTCTATGTGTGTTCTATGTGTGTGAACAGTCAGAAAACAAAGCCACTATTGAGTTATATAAATGCAAAAGAGGGATGGGAATGAATGCCAGCCTTCTGGAAATGCTATTTTTTCGCTTTGGGATAACTCCAGTAACCAAATAGAATTTTCTGATACATTTGCCAAATAAGAAAGCTGAGGTTGAGAACTAGCCTGCGATATCTTAGCTTAATATACGTTTGGAGAGCAGGGTAAGAAAAGCAGCCTCTAAATACAAATGTAAAGGTTACATCTTGACTTTTCCTTTGGAATTATGTTGTAACTTCCTCATAGAAGCATAAACATTTTAACGTTCACCGTAAATATACTTCACTGGCATTGCTTGTTTACCCCTAAGTCAAAAAATCATCAGACCCCTACACGTTGCATTAATCTTCACTGGGTTAACATTCCACTGCTGTCTCCTTTTTTTCTAGTTTTCTGTAACACCTCCTCCCCTTTGCAGTAAGAAAGTCAAAGCAGCTATGAAGTGAAACTCTATTTGAAGTTTCTCTCTATTAGGTGTGTATAAGAGCCAAACACTTCAGGTTGAAAGGAATGTGGTATTTTGTTATATTTGGATTCACGTCATTCCTTAAGCCTTACTTGGTTTTCATTTTCATAACCAATTCCTCCTATTCATACCCCTTTCAGATCACCTTACAATTAATTACTTTAGAATAATAATGAGAAATTTGCAATATGTCTCAGTGGAAAAGAGTAAAGAGAAACCCATGTTATGGTACCCAGATAAATGTCTTGATCTTCTCTTATTAAAACACATTACCTGAAGTAGAAATGAGCTAGTATCCCACTAGTACGTGGCCCCGCCATACCTGCCCCACGCATACACTACTTTGAGATCTGGCAACCTAATTACAGTGCCAGTGGGTGATTGGCCCATATTTCTCACAGTCTGTATAGCAACAGCAAGATTGATGATGATAACAGGAAGACTTTAGAAACCCTGCTTCTTTCTTCTCACCACATTTCCCGAACACTGACATCCCAAGTCTCCCTGTTTACCCCATTTCACACTAGTTAGAACAGGCATTGTCCTAAGTTCTCTCACCATCATATGTAAGATGGATGATACTCACATGGGTGTCTGGGCTTAGGTGTAATTCTATCACCTGTAACTCCATCCCTTTTTCTTGCATTTTAGAAGGCATATTAACTTTCAGTCTGTTACAGTTGCTTTTATTAAATTATTCACAAATTTTGGCACTTCATTATTAGTGACCAACTGTTGTTCAAGTGATCTAGCCCCACCATAGTTGAGAACTCCTGATTTGGGGCATCTGACATAACTATGGTACTTGTCCTGAATCCCCCTTCTCTTCTTCATTTTCTACACCACTGATAGGGATTCTCCTTCATTCAAAACACATGTTAAGCACTCAGAAATGTAAAGATAAATAAGGCTCAGTCCTGGCCCCTTAAAGACAGAATCTTAATTCACATTAAGGGAGACACACATAAAATAACCATTCTGTATGACTTGGTGTAATGGTGCAAAGAACAGATTGTCATGGGATTTGAGGAGATTCTAATCTATGAATTCAAAGCTATGATGTTGGCATCAGGCCTTTTTATGTGAGTAGCAAAGGAAGAAGGCATTCCAGGCAGAGAGAAAAAGATGAATAATAGTGTGAATGGGCAGAGTCTGAGAACTGGGACACCTTGACTTTCTCTAGAATGTAGGGTGTGTGGAGCCATTAATGGGGATGGAGATGAGGATGGGGTTTGGTCAGATGGTTCAAGGCCTTAAAGAGGGTCTCAGGGATTTGGTCCTCTATCCTGTAGGCAAAGGGAAGCTTTGAATAGGCTTTTAGCAGTCTGTTGACTTGATGGAAGAGGGTGGGTTGGGGCTGCTGGAGGAATGGGGTGGAGAGAGCCTGGAAGTTGAGAGACCTGTCGGGACACTTGGACTGACCCAGGCTGCAGGTGAGAGAAATCAGAAGCCCCTCAGCAGGTTGGAAACTAGATATCTTCTTTGTCTTTGTGTTATCAGGACCAGCACCAGGTGCCTGACACACAGTTTGTGCTCAGTAAATAGTAGTTGAACTTAATTAACCCAATTGACTGTGGAAAGTAAAGACAGAGGAAGGAAAAAAATGGCTTCACCATGTTTAGCTTGACTAGACACATGACTTGCAGTCACAAGTTGTCCTGTGAATAAAGCCATTATGTGGTACCAAAAAAAAAATGATGTTTATCTTGAGATAACAAATATAGGAAGGGCAGTTTGCGTTATTGGAGAGTGGGATAAAATGTGTTAGTCTTGAAAAGGTCTGATTTGGATTGCTGGTGAAAGGTGTCCAGTCAAGATGTTTAGGAGAGAGCCGGAGACAAACCTGGGCTCTCAAGTCAGATCTGCCTCTTGGGCATGGATTAATTTGGGAGTTGTACCTTTTAGTATCTATCCTTATTCTTTCTCTATTAGCAAAGCTTCTCAGCTTCCTATACCTGAAGCCCCATCCTGCCCTACTCAGAAGATAAATAGGTTCACTGTGGGACAGGGCCTCTGCCAGTGAAGCAGCTTCTGTCTCAAGACGTCAAAACTTTGACTTGTCTTAAGATAGCTTTATGTGCAAAGTTGTTTGAGCATGCAAACCCATTATAAACTGTCTTATTAAAAAAACAAAAAAAAAACCACAGAAAACAGGCCTTCTCTTAGGGGACAGCAGTAGTTTAGCATGGAGTGCAGTGGGCTTAGAGTCTAGAGACCTGACTTGTTGTGAACTTGAACAATGACTTAGATTTCACTTCCTAAGTTATAAAATGGAAATGACCTCCCCTGCTACAAGTAGTCGAGTGATTTGTGCCAGCATTTGCTTCTGAAATAAAATACCATCGTTACTAAGGGTTAGCTTAAACCTAGTCACAACTGTCAGCACAGCGTCACTTACTCATATCCCTGTGGTTGCCGTGTTGCCTACTAGAGTAGAGGAGGTAGAGGGTAAAAAACATGTCTGTCCTGACCACAAAGCTATGGTTTCTGCCTTGACAGCCAGTTGGCAGTGTGAAGGACCCATAACTTTAAAAACAGATACATGAGGTGCCCATGTGGAGCACACTTCTACTGTGATATTATATACATTCAGTAATTCTAGTTAAATTCAACAACTGCAGTTTTAGACATTTTTTCATGGAGGTTTTTATATAGTGATACTACTACCAACCAGAATTATAAATACTAAATAGCAAAATCTGAATATTCATTCCAGAGTGTGAATAATAAAATTGGAAAACAAAGAAGCATACAAAAAATGTACCAGTGTTACTATGGTCATATACTCTGGGAGGACTAGTGTAAGAAATTGGAATTAATTGCTATGTTAATGTCACTTGGGTTCAATTATCTTCTGCTCTGCCATACTAGGAAACTGCATAAGTAATTTAGCCAATTGAATTCTGGCAGCTTTTGGAAGCATACATGTTTTCTAGATCTTTTTTCCCCATTATTTTGTGACACCCACCCCCACCCCCTCCAAGGCAGTTTTCCAGCTGTTCCCCTAGGGAGTCATTTTATGGGGAAGTTTCTTTTGTAGGCTTCCAGCTGGCTTCATTTTCACTATCTCCATGAAGTCACTGTTTTTGTCACATTTATATGATATTATCCATCATGCGTTGCCTTGGGATTTTCCCTTTGAATTGTTGACTTCATGTTTTTGTATTGCACATGCAGGCTGTCTCCTGGTTCGGACATCTATGTGACGGTCTCATCCATGGCTTTAGCAAGATCCCAGTGTCGGAACTCTCCTAGCAACTTGTCTTCATCCAGTGATACTGGTTCTGTGGGGGGCACTTACAGGCAGAAGTCCATGCCCGAAGGGTAGTTATGCGTTTGTCCCATTGTACATGGTCCCTGTTGGCATCATTTCTTTCATCTGTACTCAGACATGTAAAATGACTTCCATTCAGCCAGCCTTGATCAATTTGTAGACAAACAAAAGAGAAAACGTAGTTAATAATCCAGATAGAAAAATGGCTTCATGGCTGGTTTAAACTACTTCTTAGGAAGTTTATCATCCTCTAGCCTCTACGAGGAACTAAATGGCAAAGAAATCAAATTGCATTAGTTTGTCCATTGTATATATTGTTTAGTTTCACAGTTCAGATTTTGTCACTTCTTATTTACTCCAAAGTAGAAAAAACACCTGTACAAGTTTTAGGATGGGAATGAGAGGCAGTTAAGAAGCAAAACTGTTTAAAAGACATAGGGCGTGTTCTACCCTCCTTGGAGATTTATTTTTGGACCACACACTTTGAGGAATTCTGACCAGGCAGGGCAGGTCCAAAGAGAGGGCCCCGGTAAATGAGGAGTTTGGAGACCATGTGGGAGAAAGAACTGAGGATGTGCAAGCTGAGGATGAGAATTATGGAGGTAAGGAGGCCACAGTAGCTTTCTTCCAGGACTCTTAGATTAGGGATCAAATTTGTCTGTGAGGACAAGTGAGGCCAATAAATGAAAGTTATAGAGAAGAAGGGTCCAGCCCATTTTGAGGAAGATATTTCAAAGCTGTCAGCCTGCCCTGGAAAGAACTGGATGGCCTCATGAGGCAGAGTCCTTGATCACTGAATGTGTTTCATATGTCAGCCAAATGATTACTTAAAACTCCTTCAAATCTAACTGTGACTCTTAAACTACTAAATGCTTCTCTGAACAAAGAACAATTAAGTTCTTCAAAAACAGCACCAAGTAAAATTTAGAACAAGTTTTATCTTAGCTCTTCAGGACTGGGTATCCCTTATACTCTGGCATACAATAAATTGGGGATAGGGGGCATACATGAGAAATGAAATTAAAAGTTCATCAGATGAAAATGTTTTCCAAAGCAGAGTTTAAGGATAGTTTTACCTTATTGTTTATTTAAAACCAGAGGGCCAGAAAAATGTCCAGCTTTAAGTTCAGAGGTTTAAAAGGTTCAGAGGTTTAAAAGTTTACACTGCTACCAAAAAATAAAAGCAAGTGGGCACTGTGGTCCCATATACTTGATAGGCTAAGGCAGGAGAAGATCCGTGGAGGCTGGGAATTTGAGTCCAGCCGGACAACATAGCCTGTCTCTTAAAAAATAAAAAAGTAAAAGCATGATTAGAATCCATTTCTAACTGGCATCTCCATGCCTTTTAAAAAAGTCTTAATACAAATTTAGAATAGGATCATAAATAGGTATATTTACTCTTATGAATGAAACAAGGACCCTTAGGGAGGAGATGGCAAAAAGTGTAATTGTGAGTCCTTTTTTTAAATGACCACTTTAACCAATTAGAAGTTTTCATAAATCAAGGTTTTTATTTTTGATAAGTGCTACATCAGTATGTGAGATAGCTTTGCTTAGTGAGCCTTGTGATGGGGTATGTAAATGAAAAGCATTTGTGAAACAGTAACTGGGGGGATGATATAATAAGAGTTTTATTGGCTGGTACGGTGGCTGTCGCCTGTAATCCCAGCACTTTGGGAGGCCGAGGCGGGCGGATCACGAGGTCAGGAGATCAAGATCATCCTGGCTAACATGGTGAAACCTCTTCTCTACTAAAAATACAAAAAATTAGCTGGGTGTGGTGGCGGGTGCCCGCAGTCCCAGCTACTCAGGAGTCTGAGGCAGGAGAATGGTGTGAACCCGGGAGGCGGAGCTTGCAGTGAGCCCGAGATTGCGCCACTGCACTCCAGCCTAGGGGACAGAGCAAGACTCCGTCTCAAAAAAAAAAAAAAAAAAAAAAAAAAAAAAAAAAAAAAAAGTTTTATTAAGATAAGTGTTTTTCTAGCCCCTTCTACTTTGCAGATGCTTTATGTAGATTTTTCTCCTTGGCTTCTTATAATGGAATTGCCGTTTTACACATAAATTGAGGCAAAAATTCAGTGACTTTGTTCAGTCATATTGGATGGGGGTTGGAACTTGGCCCCAGGTCTTCCTATTGTTTATCTCCTGCCTTTCTGTGCACCACTTCCTGGTTTTACCCATACATGTATCAGCCTATAGCAAGAAGACACCCCACAAGCATCAGTTCATCCAGGCCCATCTCAAGCCATCCTCCCACCTCAGCCTCCTGAGTAGCTGGGACTGTAGTGGCCACCACACCAGGCTAATTTTTTTTTTTTTTTTTGTGGAGCCTGGGGTCTCTGTTGCCCAGGCAGGTCTTGACTCTTGTCTTCAAGTGATCCTCCTGTATCTGCCTCCCAAAATGCTGGGATTACAGGCGTGAGCCACTGCTCCTGGCCCCTATTTGGTCTTTTATTATATGGATTATGCATAAAGTTCATTAGTAACCACATATATATTAGTAAATTTCCATATGAATGTTTAAATTCTACACTCTGGCACTTTTTCATGGGCTCAGTCAGTATTTACTTTGTTGATATTGCTAGTCAAGGCATATGCTTTAATTAAGCATGTATTATTATTTTACAAAGGGAAAAATAAAACTGGCTCACTAAATAGCTAAATGTTCTTTCCAGAAATAAACATTTGCCTTTATTTTTTGCCAGTTTACCTGCTTCCAAATTGCCCTTCCCAAAGGCAGTTTAAAATTTATACAGTTTGAACGTGGTTTCTACATGATCTAAATGATAGTAATCTTTGTATTTCAGACCACAAAGCAAGTACTCAGAAAATACTTGTTCCAAGAACCACTGACTTAATGATTTAGTAAACTACCAAGTTAAGAGAAACAAACCTCCACAGTATACCATTTGGAAGATATATATGGAATATTAATATTTAGTTTGTGAACTTTTTCTTTTGGCTGTGAGTAAGTCTGAACTTGGCTGTACGAGGGCTTAGAAAATTTTGGTTTCTTATACTACATACCTTAGGTTAGCTCAGTCCTAATGGCTTCCGCCCTCATTGTTACAAGTTTGTTTACATAGCATGCATACCTTTTTGAGCAGAGTGGTGTATATTGACCACAACATACACATTTCCACACCCACGTAAACACGAACCAGGGTGTGTATACAAGTACAGACACATAAGCAAAAACCAGTAGTGCCTGTCATTAAAATTTAGTTCATTACACCCAGGACTGCCTTCCCCTCATGGGTAAGGTCCCTGATGTTGTCTTTGCCTTTGCGGAAATCACCACAGGTTTGGAGTGAGCCGTAGATCCCCAGCCTCCATTGACAGGCAGAACACCCAGTCAGATATTGGTGGCAGCGGAAAATCCACGCCTAGCTGGCAAAGAAGTGAGGATAGCATTGCTGACCAGATGGGTAAGTAATCAATTTCTACAAGAAGAAAGTTGCTTTTACAAGGTGACTTAGGTCACCTCTTGATGATGTTATCAAAACATTGTTATAAAAGGTAGCCCTAGTTAATAAATATGAATTAGAATTAAGTCTCTGTTAGATTATGTATAAGTGAAAACAATAAATAAGACCTAAGAGAAAAGGAATTCTAAGTGACCCCAAATTCAAAACTGGAAAGGCGATAGGAATTATTTTGAGCACCTAGATTAAAACACCAGACTACCAGACTAAGTACCTTCCTCCCCCTTGTTTATTTGTTTTTGCCTAGAATAAGTGCCTTGAGAGATTGCTTGGTATACTTAATGTCAATTTGAAAAACAAAACTACTAACAAAGTGGAAAAGAGATACAATTATTGTTTAGTCACATCCGTAGCTTGCTTAGAATCTCTTTCCTCCCTGATGTGCTTTTAAAAAAAATTCTTCTCACTCTGCTATTAAGCTGTCAGCTAAGGAAATGTCTTAGCAGTATGAAACAGCTGGGTGGAAGAGATTTGCATTGGTGAGCTTGTGCCCGGATTTCTACTGCATAGCCCTTTCTTTCTATATATATGTTGTTTCACAGTGACACCATAACACTAGTTGATACAATAACATTTTGCCATGAAACAAGATTTTCAACACAGGAGCCTCAGGGATTTGGTACCAACACAGTTGGTGCATCATTAACTTGAATCTAGATTGTTAGACTGTTGGATTTTTTCCTCCTTTGTTTAATCTCTAGTTGCATCAGTGTAGGATAAAAAGGTGTACATTTCAGGGCTGAAAAAGATAATCTTATAAGACAAGACCCATCTGTTAATCTTCTCTGCAAATTCATTGTTTTGTCCTGTTTTAATGACTTTGCCCAAGTAAGTGTACTAACCATGGACATAGAAAGGAGTGGAGATGTGTTCCACTAAGACAGGGGTTGAGGAAGAGAAATGGAGTTCCTAGGTTCTGAAGATATGCTTTGTTCCAGTAGCTTCAGTGAGATGTGCCTTGTTATTGAAGCCATCTGTCATTCTCCACTCTTATCCTACCCACCCCTACACAGAAAACCTGAGCATATTCTGATCTGCTTTTCTACTCTTGACAGAATGTTTTAAATCCCATATGTTTTGATACTGTTGAGATGGTAACGACACATGTGAAAAGGATCCCTTCTTCAGCATGACTTTAGCGGCTTTTTTTGGCTCCTAGTGCAGGCTTTGAACAAGGCTGCCAGCAAGCCCTTTGTGAGGCATGCAGTGTCATGCCTCCCACTCTCGGGAAGTCACACGGAGTGAGAAGGGATGGAAAGGGTAATTACAAGGTTCTTCCTAGACCCCTGTTCATTCTCTCACACAAACCTCCCTCTAGTCTTTTTTTCCCTGCATCCACTTTACTTTAGTGGCATCCCACTCTTAATAGATAAGACTTAAAAATGAATGTAGATGAATTTTTAAAACCTATTTGCTCATCTTTTTTGTAAGGTATACTTTTTTTAAAATAAGATACCCCTGAAGCCTGCCAAAGAAGCCTTTTCACTACAGTACAAGAGGTCCAAGTGGTGGCCTTTCACCATGGGAAATCCAACCCTTCAAATAAAATATTAAAATAATTTTTAAAATAATTTTTGATATCCCAGCATTCCAGAAAAATAACCAAGCCTTTCCTAACTGGCACATCAGAAGGAATCAGAAGGCTTAGCTGGTATAAGCCATTCCAGGGAGAAGTCAAGAAAAATAATTGTTGCATTTTTATTACTCAGTACCCAATATTGAGTATATAATGGGCTGACCATTCTCTACTCAGTTTATAAGAACAGCATTCTCTAATGACTTGCACTGATTGAGAATGTTTACGAGGTTCTTATTGGTTAGGCATCAGTGTGTTATCAACAGGTACCCTCCTGACAGTGGAGACAGGAGTTTAGCCTACTGACTTGGCTCACTTATCTTTATGGCTGTTCACTTTTCTGCCTCTGCTTTTGGAAATGGTTGAGAGTCAGAGTCAAGGAGTATTTTGCCCTGTCCTCTACATGTTAGGAAGGGTGTTTCAGAGGCCCAGGATTCTTGCTATTAGCTATAGTGGTGTTATGGAGGATAAATTCTTTATCTCTCACTTTTGGAACCCCATCTTGAACGCCAGCTTGGAGTCCAAAAGGAAGCAATTGTTTTAAGTAAACTAGTTGCTGTGTGTCTTTTCTGTTGTGCTCAGCTTACAGTTATAGAGGACCTCAGGATTTCAATTCTTTTGTCCTCGAGCAGCATGAATATACAGGTAAAATATTTCCAAAGTGTCATGGTAAGTAACACGTGATTGCATCCATGCCTGTCTAGGTAATGTAGACCAAGCTAGGTTAGCCACACTTGGCAATGAATGAATTTCATAAATTTAATTCATATAATCTAAATTTTTCCCCCAAACCAAAAGTTGATTCTGAACTTTGCTGCGTTGTTCATGGCCTTTGGTTTGGTGGTACTTGGCTATGCTAATGTGTATGACGTGACAAGTTGTCACCAGCTGCAAGCTTTATCCATCAGCCACTTAAGTTTCTGACCTGCTGTCTATCAAATAGACTCTTAACAAGCTTACTGCTGAAATGCAGAGTTTGCTGGTCAGTGAACTGAAAGATGCAATGGCAAGCCATCTTCATTTGTCACCATGTGCTTGTTTCTGCTTAGTGCCTGCACCATAATGTCCTATGCTGTATTCCAGAGCCAACATGCCATCTCCCAGCAGTATCAAAGGTACTGCCAGCTTTCCGAGAGAGCCCCAGTGGGAGATTAATGCGGCAGGATCCAGTGGTTCATTTGTCTCCAAACAAACAAGGGCATGTAAGTTAACTGTAAACTTAAAAAAGTATTAGATTCCTAGCAGTGTACCTTCCTTGCACTATGAAAATGCTCTGCTCTTTCCTCTGCATGGCCAAAGAGGAAATCATTCTGGCAAAGAGTGGTCGTTTGCTGCCATGGCCTTGCAGTTTCTGCTGCCATGGCCTTTAGATTGCTTTGAGATAAATTGTAACTCCTCATTGCTGTGCTTCTGCCACCCCCACAGGTCTGGTCATCTGATTCAGTCACTAACAATCCTGAAATGTTAGGAGTGGAAATGTGTTAGAAGTTGATTTTATTTGCTTACACAATTGCAAGCATGAGATGTGGTTGGAGCGTCAGTCCTGCTCCAGCCATGAGAGGGCTCCAGCAGGACTGATGCTCCAACCATATCTTTGATTCTGCTGCAGTAAAGGAGGTGTAGGAGACAGACAGCTTCCCCTATGCCTCCTCTACCGCTTCTCTTGTCTTTCATAGCCATACACATTTCATCCTTTCGCTATAGTAATACACAATTCCTTCTCACTTACAGTAAAATTGGGAATATGAGGTTATCATTCTCCAACCCCCCTCTTATTTTTTTCCCCACTCTTCTTCCCTGATACCGCTATTGGGACGGGACGCCCTCCCCATGCAGTTGATTTCCTTGGTGTGTCTGTTCACTGGAATGTGTATGTTTATATTCACGTCATTCTATAGAATGAGGAAATATTGTATTTCATGCTTACTAGTTCACTATGGAAGATGCCCAGAGAACTTTAAATGAGAGATGCATGTAAGTTTTGCTATAGAAAAATGAATATTGAAGCTAAAAAAAACAAGCAAGAGTTAGCATGCCCTACGCTTTTCTCTGAAGAGAAAGGTTTTCTGAGGAAAACCTTTCTATGAGGAAAATATTTACTGAGGCAAGTTGTGACAATGTGATATTGTCACAAATCTACTTGTAAATGATAGATTATCCCAATTGATCTATAAATTTCCCCTCCCTCGTTAATAATTTTTATACTGATTACATGGTAAAATAATATTTTGGGCACATTGGGCTAGATAAAATATATTATTAAAATTAATTTCACATGTTTCTTTTCTACTTTTTACTAGAAAATTTAAAATTACATATATGGTTCCCATTATGTTTCTGTAGAAATGGATTATATACTTTACACTCTTGATACATCTCAATTCAAACCAGCCATGTTAAAAGTACTCAATAGCCACACATGACTAAGGGTCACCAGATTTCACAGCACAGGTCTGGAGCTAAAGAAGTTCTGTCCTATTAAGAATAAATGAAGGCTTTATTACAGCACTTAGTAAGTTGTTATTGAGAAAAACTAGAGTAACACCAATAAAGTAAGTGGGATTGATTATTTTTTCAAGGGGAAGAGATGTTTCACTTTGAGGTGAAACTGGTGGCTGGGTACGGTGGCTCACACCTGTAATCCTAGCACTTTGGAATGCCTAGGCAGGTGGATCGCTTGAGGTCAGGAGTTTGAGACCAGCCTAGCCAATATGATGAAACCGTCTCTACTAAAAATACAAGAAATTAGCCAGGTGTGGTGGCACACACCTGTAGTCCCAGCTACTCTGGAGGCTGTGAGACAGGAGAACCGCTTGAACCCGGGAGGCAGAGGTTGCAGTGAGCTGAGATCATGCCACTGCACGCCAGCCTGGGTGACAGATCAAGACTCCGTCAAAAAAAAAAAAAAAAAAGAAACTGGCATGTCCTACTCCTGCCCCTCCCCTTAGCCAATGAAGAGCCTGCTCCTTCCTCTACCAAAAGACACACACACGCACGCACACACACACGCACACACACACAGTTCCTTCTCTTCTCTTTTAATCTCCAGCAATCATCTAGACTTCCCGCCTCCCTCTAATTTAAAATATTATTTTATTCAGATATCTTTTAAATTCTTATTTGGGAAACTCTATAAAATGTTCTTTCTAAGCATCTAAGCCAGCATATGGAAAGAGTTCTATATGTTTTTTAAATTGAGATATAATTCACATACCATAGTATTTACCCATTTAAAATATACAATTGAGTGAGTTGTAGCAGCATTTTCACAGAGTTATCCGGCCAGCACTGCTTGATTCCTGGGCATTTTCGTCACCACCACCGACTGCTTGTCATCCCCTGGGAGACCTAGACAGTCACCAGTTTCTCTCTCTGGATTTGCCTACTCTGGACATTTCATACAAATGAAATTATACAATATGTGGCCTTTTGAGCCTGGCTTCTCTCGCTGATTATGTTCCCAAGATTCATCCATGTTGTAGCATGAATCAGTACTTCATTCCCTTTCATAGCTGAATAATATTCCATTTTACGGATATACCCTATTTTTTAATCCATATATTAGTTGATGGACACTTGGATTTTTTTTTTGTTTTACTTTTTGACTATTATGAATAATTTGGCTGTAAACATCCACGTACAATGAAACATGCCTTTTTATTTCTCTTGGGTATATATATATACCAACGTAGAATTGCAGCTGTTTTCCCATAGTTACCACCCCATTTTATATACCCAACATTGCCAACATTCATTATCATCTGGCTTTTTTTTATTATAGCCAAAGTGGCATCTCGTGGTTTTGATTCGTATTTCCCTAATAACTAATGGTATTGAATATCTTTTGATGTGCTTGTTGGACATTTGTTTTTTGGTGTTTTTTTTTTTTTGTTTTTTTTTTTTTTTTTGGAGAAATGTCTATTCAAATCATTTGCCCATTGTTTAATTGGGTTATTTGAAGCACAAAAGTTTTAAATTTTTATGAAGTCCAGTTTATTTTTTTCTTTTGTTTCATATGCTTTTGTTGTCATAGCTAAGAAACCATTTTATAACTGGAGGTCCTGAAGACTTACACATATGTTTTCTTGTAAGAGCTTTATAGTTTTAGCTTTTACATTTAGATCTTTGATCATTTGTGAGTTTATTTTTCTATATGGTAAGGATCCAACTTTATTCTTTCTTTCTTTTTTTTTTTTTTTGAGACAGGGTATCACTCTGTCACCAAGGCTGGAATGCCGTGCAGTGGCACAATCTCGGCTCACTGTAGCCTCAACCTCCTGGGCTCAAGCGATCCTCCCACCTCAGCCTCCTATATAACTGGGACTATAGGCAGGCACCACCATGCCTGGCTAATTTTTGTATTTTTTGTAGAAATGGGGTTTTGCTGTGTTACCCAGACTGGGCTTGAACTCCTGAGCTGAAGCAATCCACCTGCCTTGGCCTCCCAAAGTGCTGGGACTATAGGTGTGAGCCACTGCCCCAGTTCCAACTTTATTCTTTTTTGCATGTGAATATTCAGTTGTCTCACCATCATTTCATGATAAACCTAATTTTTTCCCCATTGAATTGCCTTGGTACCTCTGTATAAATTTCACCTCAAAGCATGTCTTAGAAGGCTGTCTCCTAAACAGAGGCTAATTGGGGAAGGAGGTCTCTCTAGACATAAGTCTTATATTCAGCCTTCTATTTACTCTGAACAAATAGGGCTTTTAGAATTAACATGCTTTCTAATTATAATCCCTTTGGAAATGTCATTTCCTTTCTCTTTTAAGATACTAAAACTTCAATGACAATTTAAATTTCTTCCTGACTAAAATAATCTCAATAGTATTGATACTTTAGCATAAATCAAATAATGAAAAATAGATTAAAAAAAAAAAACACGTTTCTAGTACCCTTTACCATGGATACTTCTGAATGGACCATAGTGACATAGGTTCCCTGTCTTACTGTGACTAGTCATTATTGGAACTTTTAGGCCTTCAGAGCCCTATAACTAGAAATTAATCACAGTGTCATTTCTGTTATTCTCTTGTTCAGGAAGCAAAACTTTGCACTCAAATAAATTCTGCTTCTCTTGCAGTCTGATAGCCACTACTCGAGCCACTCCAGTAGCAATACTCTCTCCAGCAATGCGTCAAGTGCCCATAGTGATGAGAAGTGGTACGATGGGGACCGCACAGAATCCGAACTCAACAGCTATAACTATCTGCAAGGCACCTCTGCTGACAGTGGCATTGACACCACCTCTTATGGCCCCAGCCACGGCAGCACAGCCTCGCTGGGGGCTGCCACATCGTCACCTCGCTCAGGGCCAGGCAAGGAGAAAGTGGCACCCCTATGGCACAGCTCCAGTGAAGTAATCTCCATGGCAGATCGGACTTTGGAGACAGAGAGCCACGGCCTGGACCGGAAAACAGAGTCTTCCCTGAGCTTAGACATACACAGCAAGAGCCAAGCCGGCTCGACCCCTCTGACAAGGGAGAACAGCACCTTCAGTATAAACGATGCTGCTTCCCACACAAGGTAACCACCCTTCCCCGCTGTCTGATTCCCAGCCCAGACCTAAGCCCAGTTCCCTGGCCTCAGCCCACTTTACTTTGCTCAATAGTGTATAAGGAAAGGAGGTTTTTCTGCAGTGACAATTATTTTTATATGTTTAATGCCCTTTATTTGCCTTCAAAATACTTTAATCCTGCAATTTTAGTGCATTATTTTAAACTGTGAGAAAATTTTGCAGATTTATTCTTTTTAAAGTTGGATTTGATTTTTAAAATAATGTTCCTGGCTACTACAATTTGAGAGGAAATTTGTAATTTTGTAATGTTGGCTTTCGGTGAGTAATAGGGAATGTATACTGGGACAAGCTTTTGAAGACTATGTTTTTAAAATATTGACCATATTGTTAAAAGACAGAGGTCTTTTCTGAGTAACAGAGCATCGTTTGCGATGCCAAGCACGTCCTTTACGTGCCTCTCAAGCCGAGAACCTCACTTACCTGATATTTACATTGTAACTTTTTTTCAGTAATTGGCTCCTGGCAGCAATGGGTTGAGAGTGGGGGATGTCCAATAGAAACGTGTAGCTAAAATTAGACATACCTTTCAGAATAGGAAAGTACACATTCCCCTGTATCCTTGGAGATCACACCTCTAGATAAAATAAATACTATTTGTCGTTTCCTCTTGATTGGAGCCTAAAATCCCCAATGTGACAAGATCCACATAGGGAAGAAGCATTCCATCACTGTCTTTTTAGGCCTGTTGATCTCTGTGTGGTTTCTCCTTTTATCTTCGATTGTTGTCAGTCATTGATCAATGTGTGAGACCATCTAACCTTGCTGTCTTCTGGGTCTGCTATGATTATGACCGCAAGAAAAATAGTAGAGGCTGGGCGTGGTGGCTCACGCCTGTAATCCCAGCACTTTGGGAGGCCGAGGTGGGCAGATCACTTGAGGTCAGGAGTTTGAGACCAGCTTGGCCAACATGGTGAAACCCCGTCTCTACTAAAAGTACAGAAATTAGCTGGGCATGGTGGCAGGCACCTGTAATCCCAGCTACTTGGGAGGCTGAGGCAGGAGAATCGCTTGAACCCAGGAGGCAGAGGTTGCGGTGAGCCAAGATCACACAACTGCACTCCAGCCTGGGCAACAGAGTGAGATTCTGTCTCAAAAAAAAAAAAAAAAAAGAAAGAAAGAAAGAAAAAGAAAAGTAATAGAGAGGCTTAATTTAGTTTTTATTTTTCAAATGGAAATCTAGGCACATAATCTGTCAGTAAACCCCAGATAACCTTAAGGAGAGAGGACATCCTCTACTTAATTTGGATTGCTTTCACTTGACCAGCTAAGTATTTTGTTTTCTCATGGAGTCTCTATCGCTACTTATCATTGAGCTTCCCTTCATTTAAAATGTCAGGCCCCATGGAATGAAGCCTTTCACTAGTTTTGTTTCTGTTTACCACTACCACATTGCAGATCTCAAAATGATGGTGATAGGTCTGGAAACTCCATGGCTTCCAAGCAAAAGGAAATTGGGAAAGTAGTCTCAGTATTCTTGAGTACTATGTATTCCGTTCCACAATTCAGAAAGTAGATTGTTTGATTCAAATGGTATAAGAGATGTGTTTGCCAAAGTAGAACAGGAAGTGGGCATCAGATGCCATAACCATATAGACAGAATCACACAAGACAGAATGATGACACTCGCTGGCTGTTCTTGGCACATCCCCATCTCAGTAGACTGTGCATTGACTTAGAACATTTTGCATATCTGAATAGTTTCTCTCTGGTTTTTAAGTTTAGTTTGACTCCTATTTCTTTGGTTTTCAATTTGTCATTTTGAAAGGAGGATGCCTTTTTTTAAGAATGTCTTCCATCTGAAAATATTTCTCTGGTCCAATGTGATGGCAGAAGAAAGTTGGTTATAGAGATCTTGTCTCAAATGGCATCACCATGGAGTGAGATTGGAAAGAGCTGGGCCCCTGAAACCAAAGCACAGAATGTGCGGCTGTGCCATTATCTAACAAATCCCAGGGGATCAACAAAGCTCCCTGAAAAAAGCATCTGGGTTTGCATTATCTGAATGTGCTGACTGGAGCTGCCTGAAGGCCTCAAAGGATTATCTAAATTTTCTGCTTCTAACTGGAAGAATGCAGAATCATTGAAATCATCCTTTAGAAATAACTCTCCTATTGAAAGTCAAACTTACTAGAGAAGAGAAGAATGTGGCCATTCAGGGAGGGTGGCAGAGCTTCTCACCCACTCATTTGAGTCACATTCATTTCTAGACTCTGGTAAGTAGGGATGTTTTGAGACTTTGGTATGTTGATCTTGGCAGAGTGAGTTGGATAATCAGAGCTTTAGCAGCCTGCCTTTTCTGGAGGAAAGGGGACTTAGCCACCAAATGCACATTGCTATAGAAAAACTAAAATCACAGCAAATTAGAGTGTTTGTGTCCTCAGAAGACAGGAACAGCAATTAATGTAGAGATATCTTGACAGTGCTTAAAAGAGCTTGTACCTGGGACTCAGTGACAAAGTCTAAATTACAGTGATTAAGTTTCACTGCATCTTTCTGGCTGGGCTCCATTCCTACCTTCTCTGTCCTCTAGTCTCCCTCTTGATGATCATGCAGATCTTTTGTAGCTCCTCATGAGAGCTACATTAATACAGGTTGGTAATTACATAGAGTTGCTATATTTGAATGTCATTAAAAGAAGCCACACATACTGGTAACTTTCTATAACTAAAAACGTCTATTAATTGCTCTAAATTATTGCTCCCTAGAATATATGTGTATCTTTATGAAGCTTGGAAATTTAGGGAGAAAATTTATTTTATTTTATTTTTTGGTAATGGCTGTTTCACTTTCAGATCTTAAAATGAACCACTGAAAAAAAAAAGATTAGTGGTAAGCCTAGGAGAGGTGAAGATAGTAGTAATTTAAGGACATTCTTAAATTTAAGCAGCATTCATTTTCTTCTTAGCGTTCTGGCCTTGGCAGTAGGCAGTGCCAGTTTGTGTGGCAATCAAGGACCTCCTCAGTTAGTCCAAAATCCTCTAGACCTGCTGACCAATGCTGTTTCTGGTGTTGGAGCTTAATTTGAGAACACACATGAGAAAGCTAAAAACCCTACCTCATGCTTGCACATAGATATCTCTTCTGTAACTGACTGACCTGACTTGTTTTGGTGTCCACGGTTGTTAGCCAGCTATTCTCCAGGTCTCCTTCCTCTTGCTTCCCTAAGGCCCCCTCAGACACCTGTAGCCAATTACTACCCACTTATGCGATCACATATACCTTTTTACTGCCATCTAGTCAGTACAAGAGGATTTTTCACCCAATATGTTCATCCTAAGTATATTTGCATAGGCCGTGCCAACATGAGCATAATAGATTGATACTCAATACATGCCAATGAGCAAATAGGAATAACTAGCTGGGCACGGTGACATGGGCCTATAGTCCCAGCTGCTCAGGAGGCTGAGGCAGGAGGATCATTTGTACCCAGGAGTTAGAGGTCAATCTGGGCAACATAGTGAGACACTGTCTCAAAAAAATGAAAGAATGACTTTTCTTTATGTTTTTTGCCTGATGACTCAAACCAGTTCAAAAGTTACATAAATCCTCAACTCCTGGCTCTTAGAAAACCACTAACTATTTTGAAGGTTATTGTACAGATGCATCAGTATTTGCACAGAGCTGCAGTGCTTATAGGTGTAGGTATGAGAGCATACATAGAGTCTTTGTGTAGCATGAAGTCTTAGTAAACTGTCATGTCTACATAAAAGTTTGTAAACTCTACGAAGTATGACAAGGAAAAACTTTAGAACAGCTAATATACAAATATCAGTCAGGATCTAGATATATGTTGGTCAGTGTCTGACATTATCACTGGAAGAACTGGTTAAAGACCAAGAAAAATGCCTGCCCACAGTTGTCAACACAGCTCAATTTCATGAATGTGCTTTTTCTGGTTGATGGTTCATGCCACAAAAGCTGTATGTTTCTTGAGAGCTGAGGAAAAGAAAGGCTTCTTATGTGTGGTTTACATTGAACATTAGGACTGCCTCAGGCTACTCTGGCACACTGGGCTGTCTGTGTGCCTCTGTGTATGCCCTGTTCCCTGCACCCTCATTGGCATCCTATGGATGTGAGAAATATGCCTTCCATCTTTGTTTAGAAGTTACTCCGTTGTCTTTACCTGTAACATTTCCTTCTCTAAATCTTTTCTGCCTGGAAATGTTTTTTTTTTTAGTTACTAACAATTAATTGCCTCTCTTTTATATTTTTTCCTTAAGATGAGAATGTTATTTTTCTAAATATTATGGACTAACTCAGAATATGAAAATTCACCCTCTAAAATAACAAAACCAGAACTTCTCTTAAGAGATGTGGTTGACTCTATTTGCCTTAGCCTAGGTTGTGGGTATGGATCATTTTAATTGGCAATTTTTGCTTTGCATCACCGCATACAATAAACATTCACGATTATGTTCTATGTTGCTGTTACATGGCAGAACTCCAGGTGATTTGGCCTAAGCGATCTTGCCACACCTCTTCCAGCTTTTGGGGGTGGTTATTTTATCCAGAACCAGTTACTTTTAGTAACCTCAAAGACTGAAAAATAGAACCACTGAGGAAGAAATTTCAAGTGAACCTTGAGAAAATGAGCCCTCTGTCAAGCCACAGATGCTTGATGCAGATCTCACCAACAAAACATTTTTTTGCTTTGTTCTATGAAGCAACTAATCCATTCATTCAGTTGATGTAGCAAGCCCAAATTCTTCAAGTGTCATTAAATCATAAGGCCAAAAGGAATTCAGAAAGGGCAGAGAGCCCATTCTTCGTCATATGTAAAGCATTCTACCAGGATGAGAATTCATACAATTGTTTTATTGGGGCAGTGGGGAGGGAAATAATCTCAAGAGATTTCACAGCTTTTCTCTCTTTTTTTTTTTAAAGACAGGGTCCCTCATTCTGTCACTCAGGCTAGAGTTCAGTGGTGGCCCTGCAGCTCACTATAGCCTCAACCTTCTGGGCTCAAGTGATCCTCCCACCTTAGCCTCCTGAGTATCTGGGACTATAGGCATGCACCACTATGCTAAGCTAATTTTTAATATTTTTATAGAGACAGGGTCTCATCATGTTGCCCAGGCTGGTCTCATACTCCTGTGCTCAGGCAGTCCTCTCACCTTGGCCTCCCATAGTGCAGGAATTACCGGCATGAGCCACTGAGCCTGGCCCACACAACTTTTCTAAATAATTTCAGTATATAATAAGTCCTCTCCCTTTTCAATATTTAATTCCATTCCTCTAGCTACAGCTCAAATACACAATTAAGAGAGAATAAATGTCTTTTTATGAGCTGAGTGTTTTCTAAACATGAAGATTTTTGACATCTAAGATTCTGAGAACATGTGTTGGCCCTGCTTGCCTTAACCTAGTTATTGGATATAGATTATTGACTATAACGTGGTCATTTGCAAAAAAAGAAAGAAGGAAAATTTGGTATAGCTCTCTACCCCCAGGCAAGTTGGGAGAGGAACATAAGGAAAATAGATTTGGAGCCTGAGACCCTGGTTCAAGTCTCAGTTCTACCATTGGTCAGCTATGTGGCCTGTGGCCAGTTGTACCATTTCACCTGGCTTGTCCCTCATCTGTAATCTAGGAGATGGCATATTGGCCATGGAATACACCATAGGATTTTAAGGTGCACAAATTAAACAGATACAAGCACATGGTGACAAATGAAGATGGCTTACTATTGCATCTTTCAGTTCACTGGCCAGCAAACTGCATTTCAGCAGTCAGCTTGTTCAGATTCTACACAATAGACAGCAGGTCAGAAACTCAGTGGCTAATGGATAAAGCCTGCAGCTGGTAATGTGCCATGTCATACACATTAGCATAGCCTAGTACCACCAAACCAAAATCCTGTTCCACCTACTAAATGGCTGTTTTTACATGTCTGTTGAAAATAAAAAAGATTATCAAATGTATTGCAAACTGTAAATGTCATTTTAAGACCAAAGGTTTTTTGTCATTTCCTTTTGTAAGCTCTTCATCACCTGCCTTAACAATTTTCTAGTGACTTTTCTTTTAACAAGCAGGTATCTCCCACAGCTCTTATAACTACACTTTGTGTGTTTCATCCTATAATCATATTTTCTCTTCTCAAGCATCTGGCTTTGTTTTCTTTATCCTTTTTAGATGCAAAACTTGGACATGACACTCTTCTCAGCTATGCCCAATAAAATGATAATGTTCATAGATATCTTGTTAGCCCCTTATTAAATAGCTTAGCGTTACAGGCTTTTCAGCTTGTGGTCCACGGTGATCCCTGAGGCTTCTACTGCTGCATATAGCTGGCCACTCATTTCCCTATGCTGTATGTATTAATATGCCCTTATACTGTTAAATTTCTGCCTTTTATAGATGGACAATTTTTCTTTACTGCAGTCACTTGGATATCTTCTTTGTCAACTTAATCATCCCTACTTCACTTGTTTTCCCCCAGTCCTTTGGAATTAGTGTCTTCTAAATTGTGTTCCGTACGGTACTCTATTGGATAGAGTACAGAACTGGCTAGTGCTGAACACAGTGGGAGGAGTCCTCCTTAATCATTATCCTCCACATTATCTGTCACCCAAAGGCTTGTTATTTGTACAAGCAATCACAGGAAACCCGATCAGCTCTCCTCTCCTTGGTATTAGACCAGCATTCAGCCATTGCCCAGATTTTGCCACAGCCATTTGACAGGTGACTAATTGCTTCTCTCTGCTTCCTGAAAATACCATCTTTAGCAGGCCAAGCTTGTCTAAAACCCCCTTGCCATTCCTAAATAGTAGATGACTCCAAGTTTTCCCATCAGCAGCTTTCTACAACACAGACAGTGGCTGGCAGATGTTTTTCACAGGATATGATGATCTCAGTGACGATGCAGGAATTCACAGTGGTCTCCCCAGGCCTCATAGGTTCAGCACTCTGGGCCTTGACTGATGACATTCAGGCTTCCCAATCCTGTGTGGCTCATCGCTTGGCAAAGTCAGCAAATAGATGTAGGTCCTCCTTAAAGCAGCACCCGCTGAGAGTAGCATCTTTTTTGCAGATTGGTCATCTAGCATCCCCTCCTATAAAGCTTCGCCACAGCTGGGAATGTAAAATCACCAGGTTGCTGTACACGTGATCCATGGTTTCATTTGAGCATCAGGTCAAGATGAGAAGTTTGGACAGATTCAGGCTGTCCCAGATCCTCGGTGACCTCACTACCTCTCTTCTTTTTGAAACAGTCTGGCTCTCTTGCCAGGCTGGAGTGCAGTAGCACGATCTTGGCTCACTGCAACCTCTGCCGCCCAGGTTCAAGTGATTCCCTTGCCTCAGCCTCCCGAGTAGCTGGGACTACAGGTGCATGCCTTCACGCCCGGCTAATTTCTTGTATTTTAGTAGAGACGGGGTTTTACCTTGTTGGCCAGGATGGTCTCAATTTCCTGACCTCATGATCCACCCACCTCGGCCTCCCAAAGTGCTGGGATTACAGGTGTGAGCCACTGCGCCCGACCTCTTTTATATGGGGTATCATGTACTTGTGTATCCTCTCTTCCTTTTCAAAATTAATATCCTGACATGACCAGACAGAATCTAAGGTTGTTCCTTTTTAGGAAAGGAGAAATGCCCTATAGCTTATAGAAAAATTAAAGTTAGTAGTTTCTTCATGTAGAATTTAGAGACAACTTGAGTAAATTTCTAGTGATTCCAATTTGGCCATACTCAGTTAAACTCACTTCTTATACATTGAGAAAAGTAACATATTGCAGTTATTATTTCCTGTTACATCTAATGCTCTTTTCCTTTTGTTAGATATTATTGGTTCATTCCCTTCTTACGTAATTCCTATGACAAGATTTAACTCTCTGTGAGTAAAATGAAATTGCAGCCTATTAAATTAACATGAAATTTCCAGGATAATGAAAGAGCCCAGCCACACAGCTCCCCTTAAAAATTATGAAGCTGATAGCTTCATGGTAGTTGTATTGTAATTTAATCTACTTCAGAGATTCTTAGGTGAAGTGTATGGGTGCACATCCCTTGACGCAGTCTCAGGCCAGTGGGTTGGTCAGCTGCAAGGAGCCCACCCACAGCTGTGCCCAGAGACAGACTCATTTTAGAGTGGGAGGAGTTGAGGGGCTAATGCAGTATTTCTTCAACCCAAAAAAACATGAGAATACTTTGGAAGTGTGTTAAAATACAGATTTCTGGGGCTCTGGAAGATCTAACACAAGCCCAGGATTCCCCAGTTACATCAGTACCTACAGGTGGCCATGTTCTGTGGCTTGAGAAACACTGCTGCCGCGACTTCACCTTCTTCACCTAGACAATATGGAACTGGATTTTGACCGTCATAACAATGTGTGTAATTCAACTGGATGAGAGTGAGCAGTAGGCCTCAGTTGGTGTGAACACTTGGAGGACATTTTACCTAATCTTCCAGGCATCATTCCTCCTTTACTAAATTAAATATCTAGGATTGGGACACAAGAAAGTATGCTTTAGAAGAGCTCCCAGGTGACGCTCACAGGCCCACTGAATTAGAGGCCCTGTGTACTGAAGTGCACAGCTTCATGCTGTGAGTTGTGTGCATTAAAGAAGAAAGCCATACCAGTGAATTGTTCATTTGTTTCTCTCATAACCTTTGTGCCTAAATCTAATCAATTAAATGGGGCTGTCTCAATTAGAACCACTAGTGAAAAGAAGTGCACTGGCATTTCACACCTGGGAGCTAGTGTCAGCCCATTGTGTTCATAGATAAAACCAAGGATCGGGGTTGATCTTATTTAACCAGTTATCCTTTTAAGAATACATGTGAAAGCCAGGTGTGGCAGTGAGCACTTGTAGTCCTGGCTACTTGGGGGGCTAAGGTGGAAGGATCGCTTAAGCCCAGGAGGCTGAGGCTATAGTGAGCTATGATTGCACCACTGCACTCTAGCCTGAGCAATGGAGCAAGACCCTGTCTCAAAAGCAAAAACAAAAATTAAGAAAATAATAGCCTTATTTTGTCTGTTTTGGGACTTTATATAATATAAATAGAATCATACTATCTGCATTAATTTGTGCCCTGTGTCTTTAAGTCAACATTATGTTGCTAAGATTTATCCATGTGTTGCAGGTAACATTAGCTTTTCTCCATGGCTATGTTATAGTTACAGTGTGAGAATATAGCAGCTCATTTGTCCACTATACTGTTGATGAACATTTGGATTGTTTCCAATTTTGGATATTCAGAATCTTTGCTTTTTTTTTTCCTCTTCTTTTTATTTTTTTGAGATAGAGTCTCATTTTGTCACCCAGGCTGGAGTATAGTGGTGTGAACTTGGCTCACTGCAGCCTCAACTTCCTGAGCTCAAGCAATCCTCCCACCTCAGCCCCCCAAGTAGCTGGGTCTACAGGCACATGCCACCACACCTGGCTAATTTTTTTTATTTTTTATGGAAACAGGGTTCGCCATATTGCCCAGGCTGGTCTCAAACTCCTGAGCTCAAGTAATCTGCCCGTCTCAGCCTCCCAAAATGCTGGCATTACAGGTGTGAGCCACTGCACCCAGCCAATATTAAGAATTCCTGTACATGTCCTTTTGTACACATACATATATGTTTCTTTTGAGTTTCTGGGAATGCAATATCCATGTCAAGAATATACATATGTTCAACTTAGTAGGGTCTCTGAACTAGTTTTCCGAAGTGGTCATAACAAGTAGCACTCCCACCAGCAGTGTATGAGAGCTCTAGTGCTTCGCATCCTTGCCAGCACTTGATATTATAAGTCTTTTAATGTAACCATTCTGGTAGGTGTGTAATGGTCCTTCATTGTGGTTTTAATTTACATTTTCCTAGTAACCGATGATGTTGAGCACCAGTGTTTATTGACCTAGGCTCACTGCAACTTCCACCTCCCAGGTTCAAACAGTTCTCTGGGCTTAGCCTCCCAAGTAGCTGGGACTACAGGTGTGCACCACCACACCCAGCTATTTTTGTGTTTTTAGTAGAGACAGGGTTTCATCATGTTGGCCAGGCTGGTCTCAAATTCCTGACCTCAGGTGATCTGCCTGCCTTGGCCCCCAAAGTGCTGGGATTACAGACATGAGACACTGCACCTGGCCTATTGTGGGACTTTTTAATATCAAAATAGCTTCAAATTTACCGAAAAGTTGCAAAGATAGAGTTCCCATACACCCCTCACCAAGTTTCCCGTGTTGGCATCATCTTACATTAGTGTAGTACATTTATTATAGCTTGAGAATCAATATTCCTTCAGCACTGTAAATATGTTATCCCCCACTCTGTGGGCCTGTAAGGTTTCCACCAGGAAGTTTGCTGCCAGATGTATTGGAGCTCCCTTTTATTTTATTTGCTTCTTTTTTCTTGCTACTTTCAGATATCCTTTCTTTATCCTTGACCTTTGAGAGTTTGATTAATATATGCCTTGAAGTAGTCTTATTTGGGTGGGATCTTTTTGGAGTTCTGTGACCTTCTTGTACCTGGATATTTATATCTTTCTCCAGGTTTGGAAATGTTCATTATTCTTTTGAATAAACTTTGTGCCCCGATCTCCTTCTCTCGCTACATCCTCTTTAGGGCCAATAATTCTTAGATTTACCCTTTTGACAGGACAGGCATGGTGGCTCATGCCTGTAATCCTAGCACTTTGGGAGGCCAAGGCTGGCAGATCACTTGAGGTCAGGAGTTTGAGACCATCCTGGCCAACATCGTGAAATTCTGTCTCTACTAAAAATACAAAAATTAGCTGGGCATGGTGGCGGGTGCCTGTAATCACAGCTACTTAGGAGGCTGAAGTAGAAAACCTGGGAGCAGAGGTTGCAGTGAGCCAAGATAGTGCCACTGCACTCCAACCTGGGTGGAGACTGTCTAAAAAAAAAAGAAAAACAAATTTACCCTTTTGAGGCTATTTTCTAGCTCTTGTAGGCATGTTTCATTCTTATTCTTTTTTCTTTTTTCTACTGTGACTGTGTATTTTCATGTAGCCTGTCTTGAGCTCACTAGTTCTTCCTTCTGCTTGATCAATTCCGCTGTTGAGAAACTGATACATTTTTCACTTTGTCAATTGAATTTTTCAACTCCAGAAATTCTGCTTGATTTTTAAATTACTATTTCAATCTCTTTGATCTCTTTGTTAAATTTTTGATAGAATTCAGAATTCCTTCTATGTGATATCTTGAAGTTTATTGAACTTGCTCGAGGACAGGTATTTTGAATTCTCTGTCTGAATTCTGTGTCACTCTGGGATTGGTCACTGATGCCTTATTTGGTTCATTTGATGAGGTTATGTCTTCCTGGATGTTCTTGATGCCTGTGTACATTCATCAGTGTCTGAGCATTGAAGAGTTAGGTATTTATTCCAATCTTGGCAGCCTGGGCTTGTTTGTACCCGTCCTTCTGGAAAAGGCTTTCCGTGTATTCAAATGGGACTGTTGTGATCTTAGTTTGTGGTCACTGTAGATGTATCAGCACTAGGGGGCACCCTAAGTCCAGGAACGCTTTGACTCACCAACTCCAAGAAGCACTGCTTTGATGGGCTTGGACAGGATAAGGGAGAATTCTCTGGGTTGCTAGGCAATGTCTCTCTCTCTCTCTTCCCTCTCAGGAGTCTCTCTCTGTGCTGGGTTGCCTAGAGTTGGGGAAGGTGATTCAAGCACTCCCATGGCCACCACAGCTGGCACTGCACAGGGTCAGACCTGAAGATAGCACGGTACGGGGTCCCACCCAAGGCCCGTGGTGACTGCTGTCTGGCTACCACCAATGATTACTCAAGGCCCAGGGGCTGGTTAGTCAGCAGGTGGTGAATCCTGCTGGGTCTGGGCTTTTCGCTTCAGGGCAGCAGACTCTCTTCTGGCCCTGGGTGGGTCTGGAACGCCACTCAGGAGCAAAGTTCTGGAATCGAGGGCTTCAGGATTCCACCTGCTTTATTTTCCTGTGGATGAGCTGCTACTCAGGTTGTAAGACAAAGCCCTCTGTAGTCTTTCCTTTCCTTTCCCTAAGTGGAAGGAGCCTCTCCCCAAACTTCCCTGCCTGGAGTTGGAGGACTGGTGGTGTAGGCATTCCCTTGGCCACCATGGCTGGTGTCACATGGGGTCATGTGCACCCCAAGTCCACTTCTTCTTAAACCAGTGCAGCTCTGGGGCTTGTTCAAGGACTGCAGTCCCTGTGGCCTGACTGCCACTCATATGTATTCAGGGCCCCAGGCCACCTTGGTCAGCTGGTGGCAGAACCAGCTGGGACTCAGCTTCCTCCCACTCTGGCTGAGAATTCCCCTCTGGCCCAGAGCTGGTCTAAATGCTCTGTCCGTGGGTGCCAGCAGAATTCTGCTCAGTGTTGTGCTCTGCTGTAACAGGCCAGCAGTGAGTTCCAATGCAAAGTCCCACACCCTCTCCCTCTCTGACGTGCACAGATTCTCTCTCCAAGCTGCTGTGCCAGGGGTGGGGGAGGGAGCATAGGCGATGCAGGACCATCTTTCCCACCCTCTTCAGTGGTTCTTTCCCCTTGATATGATGTGACAAGCAGGTATTGTGATCACTCACCTGATTTTGGATTCTTATGAAGGTGCTTTTTTGTGTGGATAGTTGTTCAATTTGGTGTTCCTGTGGAGGCACAGTTGTTAGAGGGTTCTATTCAGTTATCTTCCTCCCCAAGTCAATATTGATACAGTATTATTAACTAGAGTCTGTACTTTATTTAGGTCAGGACGATTCATTTTTGACAAATGAAAGTGCCATCGAGGAACGCTTTGGGACCACATACTGTTAATTAAACCTCAAGTAAAAATAACTGAAAGTCTGTTGTAGCAAGAGTCAGCCATCTTTGGTCTCACCCCATGCTGGAGAACTCAGAAAGGCTCAAATAGTGTGGTCCTGTGAGACCACTGGGCAGGAAGTATGAAAATCCTACAGTTAAAGGCCTTCCACTTTTAACATGAGTTTTAGTCAACTAAAACTCTCATCCCTTATTTTGAAAATCTTGCCTTTTTCTGCTCTGGAACTCTTGAAACCCCAGAGTTTTGGACTCTTTAGTCATGCAGACTTTAGTTGTATAATCTTTTTTATTTTTGAGATGGAGTCTCACTCTGTCACCTAGGCTGGAGTGCAGTGGCGTGATCTTGGCTCACCACAACTTCTGCCTCCCGGGTTCAAGCGATTCTCTTGCCTCAGCCTCCCAAGTAGTTGGGATTACAGGCACACACCACCATGCCCAGCTAATTCTTGTATTTTTAGTAGAGACAGGGTTTCGCCATGTTGGTCAGGCTGGTTTCGAACTCATGACCTCAGATGATCCACCAGCCTCAGCCTCCCAAAGTGCTGGGATTACAGGCGTAAGCCACCCCGCCCAGCCCTAGTTTTGTAATCTTTAACCAATGTTGCCCTAGTTTTGTAATCTTTAACCGATGTTTGAAATACATCGACCAGCAGCTTCCAGAGCCAATAGGAATGCCAGCTGCCATGGGGAAGGAGCACTCACTGTGCCCCTTGGCCTTGGATGTGAGTCTGAAGAGCCATAGCCCTGCTTGAGTCTCCTCTCCCCTCCTCAGCTTGGTCCCAGAGAGCATCACCACAATCCCTAGTTGTGAGGAAAGCAAGACAGAGGCATGGAGACGGTAGACCTTTTACTTCTCTTTCTTCTGTCTCTTGCCACTGCCAGACTTCCGTGACAAACGTCAGTGGTGCCAATGTGAAAAAAGTGAAAAAAGTTGAAAGTGTCCCTGACAGTCTTAAGTATTTTTACTTTTTAAAGTGCAGACTAAGCCCTAGTGGTCATCTGTCACTTTGAGAGCAGACATTTAAATTATGATGAGAAAGCCAGGAAGGCCAGCCAGGCATCGCTGTTAATAGTTCATGAAAAATTCACTGTTGTTCAACCCAGCCATCACCCGTACCCCGGACAGCACTTTTATAGCTGACATAATGATCCTGAGATACACATGTCTTTGCCCTGCTTCTCCTCAGTACCATGAGCTCCCGACACTCTGCCAGCCCAGTGGTTTTCACCAGTGCCCGGAGTTCACCTAAAGAAGAGCTTCATCCAGCTGCCCCCTCACAGCTCGCACCATCCTTCTCCTCCTCTTCCTCCTCCTCCTCTGGTCCTAGGAGTTTTTACCCTCGCCAGGGCGCTACTAGCAAGTACCTGATTGGATGGAAAAAACCCGAAGGAACCATAAACTCCGTGGGATTTATGGACACGAGAAAGTAAGAGTTACTTTCCTTCCCTTGCTGGTGGCTTGCTTTTAACAGGACAGAGAATAGAAAAGCTTGGCGTGATCTCTTACAACAAAAGAGGCCGGGCTAGGGGGTTGGCAGGAGTTGGTCTGTTGGTGGGATTATGATTTTTTTTCCTAAGTAATATTTTCTTAAATTATTTCTCTGCCTCATTCCTTAAATAAGATTTATTGCAAAATGTTAGGATTTGAGAATCTTAGATCTTGAAAAGAGTGTGTTTGAAGGATACACTTCAGAATAATTGCCCCTCTGGTGCTAAGACCATACTAGTCCCTTTGATTATATTAATCACAGCCTTCCTGTGTAATTCTTAACTAGGCCAGTAGGCACCAGAGGGAATATTACAAAGTGAGTGAGTACCCCTGAAAATAAAGGACTTTTTGACAAGGTAGTACATCAAAAAATTAAATGATTCATTCAATTATTTTGTTTTCGTTTGTGCAAAGGTTGCATTTTGGATGTATACCCTGTGGTCGTTTAGTAAATCTGTTGCTAATTTTGGCTTAGTAAAACTAATAGCTTTATTTAAAAGAGTGACTTATTCATCAGATTTTATTTTGTGTTTCAAATTGGTTTTGTTTCTTCAGTAAGCGTTTATATGAGTAGATTCGCATATAAACAGAAGTAATTATCTGTTTCTCCACATAATATTTCTCTATTGACTTATATTGACTTACATCCTTTAGAGCCCATCATGCCCTTGAGCCAGCCTTGTTGAGTTGGTATCTATCATCTCTTCCCTTTTTTGTCCAGGCGTCATCAGAGCGATGGCAATGAAATAGCCCACACCAGGCTGCGTGCCTCAACCAGAGACCTCCGGGCATCTCCTAAGCCAACCTCCAAGTCCACCATTGAAGAAGATCTAAAGAAACTAATTGATCTTGAAAGCCCAACTCCTGAATCACAGAAGAGTTTTAAGGTACAAGACAGAGCTCAGGGTAGATGGCAATTAGAAACAAGCCAGACATGATGGGGCTATTAACCATAGTCACACTTTCCAGAAAGTGTTGGTTACTGGCTGCTCTTCACTAAGTCTCACTTCCTGCTATCATCCCATTTCCCTGATAACTGGTCCACAGTGTTTGACAGTGCTCTGTCCCTGCAGCCACATCTCATTAGTCATGGTTTCTATTACCTGGTCCTACCCCTACAGCTGTTTATTCTTCTGCTGTGTCCTGCTCAGAGTGCATGATTCCCTGAACATCACTTAGGTGATATGACTTCTTGGAAACTGTGCAGAGACACCTGTGGCTCCTATGGAAAGCTAGAACGTTTTCCATAAGGGTTTTACTGTCTTCTGTCCAGAGGGTCCTCGTCTTCTCAGAAATGGCCCCATTTGCTCCTGACCCTGTCTGGCAAACCTACTGGCCATATATGGTATTCTCTTCACTCAGAGAAACTGCCTGATAGACAGTCGCTCTCATTGCCACACCCCCAAAAGTAAATGTACAGCTGCTGCTTCAATCCAGCAATCTAAGTCTACCCACACACCTTCAGAACTTTCCAAACTCTCTTGACTTCATAAAGCCTTCTATTTTATGCTCAGAATTCCAGACTGTAAATGTCTTCTCTAAAACCCAGTCTCTCTGCACCAAGTCCTGAATACCTGTCCAGTGTGTACGTTTTTGTGTTGTCCAGACCTTTATGTGACCACATGGAAAGGTTTGTGTACTCGTCTCAGCTTGTAAGACCTTTGGAAACTCACTTAAGGCTCTCTCCTTTCTTGTTCTATAAAGTGTGGAGTCTCACGCCCCCGGGGATTGGAATGGGTGTTTATTGAGCTGGGCCTGAAGTTACGTCACTCTGAGTATAGGTATTTCTGTCTGAGGTCTTCTGGGTCTCCTAGGAGAAGGGAGTGCACCCCCAGAAAGGTCATGGCTGCAAACTTTGAAGTCTTCTGTTCTCTAGGTTCTTAGGTGGATGATTTGTAGTCTATTTGAAGAGACTAGAAAGCTTTAAGAAGAACCTTGAGAATTGAATTGATTGAAATGGAAGCTAGAATATTTCCTAAACCACACACCAGCTTCAGACTGTGATCAGAGTGCAAGAGGCATGGCGGGTGGAGCAGCTGTGTGGGGCTGCCGCCCTCAGGCTTCCCTAGCACCATGCTAGCGTGTGTGTGCGTGTGCATGCATCTCCCCAGATAGGCCAGATAAACCCCCTAAACCTAAAAAATCAACATTCATAGGAACTGAATGTACCCCCAAGGACCACTTTAGAGTTTTGTCGAGAAATAAATGATTTGTTAACATGATTTATGTTAATAAATCATTGTACAGATGTAGCCATTCTTGATTTCTGTAATTTCCGTCTCATAAGCCAGCACTTAACAGTTCTGACTCATCATTCAGGGCACAAATGGTTTCCTTAGCAACCTTGCGAAAGACAGTGCTTGAAACTTCTTTCTTTATCCATCAAAACCCAAAGAGGTATATTAAAATGTTCAAGTACCAGTTCAAAATAAAAATTATTTCAGATTTTTCCTTTGAGGTTAAAGGGAAATAAAACCTGCCCTGAAGGGAGTTTTTCTTCCAACTCCTAGTTTAACATTTTTGGCAAGAGGCAAGCTCAGAGCCTTCATTCTTTTGATTTACTTATGCAGTAGAAATAATTGAAGGCAAATGTCTGATTTTGTCCTTATTCCAGGTCTTGGCTTTTATTTCCAAAATGAATTACTTTAGCATTCCTATTTGAAACAGGAGTGTGCTTTCTTTATGTTGTGACTGTATTACTGTGAGACTCCGCGAAGAAAGTGCTTCTGCTGGCTAAACCATCACAGTGAGAAGGCTGTAAGCAGGAACTGGGAATAGGCCCAGGTTTTCTCTCTCCAGTTTCATCTTATTTGAGCAGGTTTAGTTTCAGATGAGTTCAGCTTAGTAGCTCCCTTTGTCTTCTGAGAGTCGTCATCTGAATGATGGAGGCTCTGCTGTGTCAGTAAGGCTGGCATGCCCTTGAGAGGTCTTCCAGGCCACTCCTGGCTCAAGGCTCTGAGTCACTGCCTCAGGCTTCAGGATACTAGGTGTCATGGCCAGCTTTGGGCTGTGACACTCCAAAGCCACTCATGTGCCACATTGATTTTCCTGGATAGCCAGTGCTACCTATGAGTTTTTGTTAATATTGAGTGGCAGGGTCACTCCCAGGCTCATTTGTCAGCAGAGCAAGGACCTCAAGAACAGTGGCAGAGCTACAGCACTCTAAGAAACCTCACTGGCAAGCAGAGATAGGATAACGTTATTTTCCCCAAGGGTGGCATACAGTCTGACAAGTGAACAGACAGTAGTGCCAGTGCTCTCAGGTATATACCAAAGGAGGTGGCTTCGTGTGGCTCCAGTATTTAGGAAGAGTTTCTTGTGAGTGCAGGTGACACATGTCACTAATAGCCAGGGGCACTGAAAAGAATGAGAGAACAGGAGACTGGCATGAAACAAAACGCCACCTCTCCAGGCCCCATTCCTCAACTGTGAGATAGAGGACCAGAGGAGATCAGTGGTGCCCAACCAGTCTTAAAGCTCAGGAAGCCTTTTTTTTTTTTTTTTAAATCACACATGGAACCCCATTATATAGAATTCAGACAGTAGAGTTTCTCTTATGGGAGGGATGGGATGGTCTGGACTCCTGGGTCCCACTTGAACCTCTCCGTAGCAGTGGTGCTATAAGGAACCCTTAGGGCCTCCTTGGAGCACAAGTTAGAACCAGCCCCCTTCTCGAATGTCCTCTGAAATCCCTTCCAGGTGTGATCCCACTTCCAGTGCCATCCCACTCCACTGCGATTCTTTCCCAAGGGCTGGCAGCACCAGGCAGCGCTCCTGGGCAATCCCAGGTACAACCTGCAAGGCAGGCAGGGGCTGCTCTTGGGAAGCAGTTAGTTCTGCACACCTTTAAGACTGGAGTTAAAGAGGATGGGGCAAGGGGCCATCTCAACATTCTTGGACAAGGCTGGGTTCTCCTACCTTTTAATGAGCAGAACGCCTTCGGGGTAGGTTGCTTCCTCTGCTTCCTGCCCTGCCTCCCTTCACTGCAGGGTGTTTTAACTTTTCATAGGGCACCCTGCTTAAAGAAGCTCTTCAAGGTAGCTGTTCATGGCCTTGAAGCATATTAACATTTCCCAAAGAGGCTGAAACTAGAATTGGCGGAGGGTTTCACACCTGTAAAACCATCAGGCTGGGGATACTGGAAAAGGAAATCCCTTTACTAAAACCAGGGGTGCTGAAAACTATTTAGCAGCAGTTTTTTCATACAGAAATCTGAGATCTGACCTGGCAGGCAGGAGCCTTATGTGATAGTCCTAGAACCTTGCAGGTGGAGATGTTTTATTTGGTTTTATTTTTTAATCTGGTTTTATTTTTTAAGAAAATTACAGTTAGCAAGCCATATAATGGCTCTAATGCTCACTCTTCTCCACAAAAAGAGAAGGGAAATTATCACTTTCATTCCAAGTTCTCTCTCTCAAAGCATTTATCACAGCAATTTAGTTTCTAGACAAGTACATACGTACCTTGGATTTAATTCATCAGGAATTTTTTTAAAGTGAGAATAATTTTTACCCAGTTGGTCACATCTTGGGTGTATTCACAATGTGTTTGATTCATAATCTTTTGGTATTTATGCAGCAGCTGTGCATACCACATTGAGGGTAGCCTGGACCTGATTCACCCCTGGCTTGTTGAGCGGAAGCATGCTAGGCCCTGTGTATCCACTGTATTTCTGGGTCTGTAATCAGCCCACTAAATGGAGCATTTGCTAAATCATTCTCTCTCTGCCCCTTCAGAGTGTCATGGGAAGTCCCAGGGTGGCTTTCAACCAGCAGTGACACCCTCCTCACATCTTCACCTGTTCTCCACATCATTTTCCCTATCGAGGCAGACAGTGGCCTAAGAGCAAATGAATAAGGATAACTTTATTGTTCACGGGTCAAATGCTCTGTTGCCTTTCAGGTTGCTATTTTTAAGGTATCTGCTGTTCTCAGTGAAGAGATACTCAGAAGCTTGCTATTTGCAGAAAAAATCTCAAGTAAAATCAAATTTGGTCACAGAGGCAAAAGATAAGAGATACATCTGGAACTATTTGTCATGTATATTTAAATATATAATTATTTGTCATTTAGAAAGCTGACTTCCCTATTCTTTCTTTATTTTTTGAGACAGAGTCTCACTCTCTTGCCCAGGCTGGAGTGCAGTGGTGCAGTCATGGCTCACAGCAACCTCTGCCTCCCAGGTTCAAGCGATTCTCCTGTCTCAGCCTCCTGAGTAGCTGGGATTACAGGCGTGCACCACCACGGCTGGGTAATTTTTGTATTTTTAGTAGAGACGGGGTTTCACCATGTTGGCCAGGCTGGTCTCAAACTCCTGACCTCAAGTGATCTGCCCACCTCGGCCTCCCAAAGTGCTGGGATTACAGGCATGAGCCACCGCGCCCAGCCTACCCTATTCTTATTTCATGAATAGAAATGCATCTTCAAAAAATGAATTTTCTCCAAAACTCATGAAATTTATCTACCTCGATAGGTTCAGTTGGTGTAAGTTAGTAGTTAATCAAGAGCTACCTGCTATGTGAGTTAAAATATTTTGATGATCAAATACCCTTGTTGCCCAGCAAGCATGTTATCATCCGACAAGCTTGTCAGGATACCCTCTTGGCACTGTGGCTCTCTCTTCCCCCAGGGGCCATAACACCATTTCATCATGCCACTGACACCTGCCATTGTGCTCAGTCCAGCGTTTTGTTTAATCCCTGTGGTAATCCTGAGAGGTTTTGTGCTCCCGTTGTACAAATGAGGAATTAGACTCAGAGAGATTGTATGATTTGGTCAGAGACACAGGATTCAAATAAAACCCACATTTGTCTGATCCTAAAGTCTTGTTTTTAACCACACACGATCTTGATAGGTCCACTTAATCACATACCTGAATCACATAGGGAGCACTGATAGACTGCAGGCAGCATGCCAGGCTAAGGAATAATGACCAGGAATTCTTGGGTTAGCTCCTTGAGGTTGTAGAAATAGACAATGAGCCCTGAAGCTTCCTTGCTAGGGGTGTGTCTGGAGCAGTAACTTGGTTATCCCACCCTCCCCCAACCTTGGTCTCAGGGATCTGAACCAGAAAATTGACTTTCTTTTGTCTTGATCCTGTTTTTCAGTTCCACGCACTCTCCTCTCCTCAGTCTCCTTTCCCCAGCACCCCCACCTCACGGCGGGCCTTGCACAGAACACTGTCGGACGAGAGCATTTACAATAGCCAGAGGGAGCACTTTTTCACCTCCAGGGCGTCACTTCTGGACCAAGCCCTGCCCAACGACGTCCTCTTCAGTAGCACGTACCCTTCTCTCCCCAAGTCGCTCCCGTTGAGGAGGCCTTCTTACACCTTAGGAATGAAATCGCTGCATGGTAAGTGGTCTTTCAGCTGCAGCCTGGATGGCCCTGTTGATGATGGTCAGTGTCCCCAGACGTGGCTGCCACTCATGTGCTCAGAGAGGGGTCCTGTATCCATGCTCAGATGGTCTCAGCTCACCCGCCCCTTCCTCATTTGCCCTCTCTCTCCTGTAATCCCAGACCACCATAGTCACCTGGGTTGCTTGCTAGAAATAACAGATTCCCACACTGGACCCAAGACCTCCTGAGTTTGAATCTCCAAAAGAATAGTCTGGGAATTGGTATTCTTAGCAACCATGCCAGCTGCTGTTATGATTGAGCAAATTTGGCTAGCACTAGATTAGTTAGTTCTTAGAGAGTGGTATCCACTGCTTCCTGTAGCTACCATAAGAACCCAGACTTGCCATTGCTGTCATTCTTTCCCAGGCTGTAAGGAAATTGCCTGTGGTGTCAACCACTCATTTGTTGACTCATTGATTTCTTCGTGCAGTGAGCAGGCAAGCATTATGTAAGGAAAAGGTTTGTGGATGATGGGTACCTCCATGTTCTTGCACCTGGTCCACATATGCCTTGTTTGCTTTGTGACCCAACTAGATCCCAGTTTTATTAAGGGCCACTTTCTGGCACTCGGGATTTAAATTTGGTTTTTCCCTTTTTCCTGTCTCTGTCCCACCCCATTCCAGGGCTCTACACCTCCCCTCATAGCTGTGGCCCAGCACAGCAGATGCCTGTCACGGAACCAGTGTTCTTGATCATTTGCTGGATGCACTGCTGTCACCCTTCCTCCCTTCTGTCCTTTTTCCTTTGGTGAACTCTGCTGCAGCTTTTATATCTCCAGTGTCCATTCATACCCATGTTTCTTTTCCTTCTGCTGCTTCTCTGGAACAGTAATTTCTTTACATCTCTTGCTTTTGCTCCCTTATTTTTGAGCTCTCAGCCCACGCTCATGAATGTTCCTCCATGTCTCTGTCCTACTCACTGTTCAGCAGCGCAGTCCCACCCACCCTGCTCGCCCCAAGGATCATGCCAGCTTCCCCTGCTCCTTAAATCTCCTTAAATAAAGCTGCTCCATCCACCTGCAGCTAAAATCTGGGTTGTCTTTGCGCCAGGAAGTCACCTCCGATGAACCAAGGTTGGCACATGAAATGACCACTTTTTGTCACCAGACTCCAGAACAAGCCTTCTGGTAGTGACCTCCTGCCCCTAACCTTTTTCTCTTCTTCTCTCCCTACATCGGGGTCAGTCTTCCGTGAATTCCATTATTCCTGCCTTACTTTGATTGCTCTCTTATTTCTCTGTACTTTTAATTTGCCTTTGCAGTGTAAAGGTAACCCCTTTGTGAAGTCTTCTCTGCATGTGTCATATCAGAGTAGGCCCTGAGTAGTAGAAGCCTACATTCCGAAAGAACAGCCCAGAAATCTGTGTCCCACACGTGGTCATTGTCCAGACGAGGAGTCCTGGGACTAGAGGCCCCATGTGAGTCCACAATGGAAAGGCAGGGACAGGCAGCCCTCTCTGAGCCCCTTCCCTTCACTTTTTCTTGTTTTCCTGAATAAGATAGCAGCTGCAGTGATTTCACCCCCTAACCAGGCAGTCCTCATTGGGCTGATCCCTCAGCCCTGCCTTGCTTGGTGACTTCCACTGAAATGTGTTTGGGGGATGAGGAAGGGTGACTTCTTTTATCCCCCACATGGAAATTCGGGCCCCAGAGATAAAAGGGCAGAAGGGTTGTGAGTTACACACAGAATTATCTCCCCTCCTACTTACCCTTGGTAGGAGCACATTTAAGTAGAACTGAACATTTAATATCTTGCAGTGTTTGTTAACTTCCATTTACTCATGATTTTGCTAATTTTGAGCACAGTAATAACCAGCAGCTGTACTTCAGAGAAGTTCTTTTCGTAATTTGAAAGGGAAAACAAAGCATTTAATACACTGGCTTACCGGGCTGTCATAATACATGAAAATCTTTAACTCCTGGTAAACAGGTCTTTCTGGAGTCACTTAAATATTCTAGCTGAGCATTTAGCTTTAGCTGTGTGTTTGCATGGACCTGAGTGTCGCAGTCACCTTCCAAGGGTGCTCCTTCTCGTGGAGTGGTGTGCTCTGCCCTGGCTTCCACCCAGCTTCTGCCTACTGAGGGCATTTCTATGTCATGAGCGTCGTTTCCCCTGGACCCCAGCAGCCCGCCCTTCCTGTTATCTGCCTGCATGAACCTGAGCAATAGGAGCTGCCTTCAGTGTTCAGGGTGGCTCACTCTGCCCAGTCCTCCCTGCCAAGCAGATCTTAGTTGTTAATATGTCAGTTTGTTGTTACAATGGTTTAATATTTGTATTCAACAAAATGTCCCCTTAGGAAGAGCTTGGGATGTTAGACTGCTGCAACCCAAAATTGGTCCAAAGAATAGCTCGTGTGATGACTGCATCCTAGAGAAGAATAATGCCAGTTCCACCCCTAAAATCACCTTCCTGTCTTAGCTCTGTCTGAGTAACCCAGCACACTCACATCCCTTGATGTGCCCCTCACACCCCCTTGGACACCTTTGACCATGGAACCCAGTGGGCTGCCCCTCAACAGCAGAGAGGGCAGGCATGGGCCTTCTGTCCCTTACCACTCCCGGGCCAGATAAAAATAAACCC